>NC_000012.12:42460128-42611643 GCF_000001405.40 Homo sapiens
GGATGTATGCTTGGATCTCCCGGGCACTTTTATTCTGTATAAATTTCTCATAGTTATCGGGGGTGTACAGCCGCAGTCTGTCCTTGGGAGAGTATTTTCTTTCTGTAACAAGATTCAGGGCATTGTCGGAGCGGGACTTTCTACTTCTCCGGCGGCGGTGGTGATGAGACCTGGATCCCCTCTCTTCAAAATTGTAGACGCGTCTCCGAGTCCTTTCACTCATCGGAGGCTGCCGGATTTCAATGTCATAGTTCCCATTGTCAATGACATCATCAGAAAACTTGACCTGCTGGGGTCTGGATTGAGACTTGGACCTTCTGAGCACTGGCAGATGTACTGGCTTCTCTTCAGGCAGGATTTTCTCTGGACACAACTCTGAACTTAGACTCTTTAAGGACTCTGCACTCCTGTGCAGCATGGAAGAGTTCAAAGTTCCCATATTGCTCATCTTCTCACAATCTTCTGTTTCCATCTCCTCAAAATTTTGCAGAGAATACAATGATGGCCTTGGCTTGTTTTCTCCATCCACCGAAGCCCCTAGAAGAGAGGCCAAAACAAGATGTGCTTCTCAATCATCCTAATATTCGACAGTACTTAAAAGTAAGCTACTGAAAGGAAATATTTCAAAGAAAATTTCCAATCTCAATATTTGATTAAAACCCATAGGGAAAGCCAACATGTATCTATGCCAATTGAGAAGTGGTATAAATGCAGTTATTGTTATAAGGGGTGGGCACAGCCTTTTTTGTTTTGTTTTTTTGTTTTGTTTTGAGACAGAGTTTTGCTCTAGTTGCCCGGGCTGGAGTGCAATGGCGCTATCTCGGCACACCACAATCTCCACCTCCCAGGTTCAAGCAGTTTTCCTGCCTCAACCTCCTGAGTAGCTGGGATTACAGGCATGTGCCACCACACCTGGCTACTTTTGTATTTTTAGTAAAGACGGGGTTTCTCCATGTTGGTCAGGCTGGTCTCGAACTCCCGACCTCAGGTGATCCACCCACCTCGGCCTCCCACAGTGCTGGGTTTACAGGTATGAGCCACTGCACCTGGCCTGGGGCACAGGTTCTCTTATAAGCCTGGAGTCAAAGATTAGTTAAGTAGTTACGGCACATGGCATGAGCAGCAAAACTTTAAGAGCTCTTCACAGCAGCCTGTTCATTCATTAACATAAGATGTAGAAGCTTCTGCTCCTCAATTCATTAAAGCCACACTGCTTCATTTGGAGATCTTTCACATCAGTCCCTCCTTGGTCTCCATCATGAGCTAGTCTTCCTCATCTTATACTGAGGCTAGTGGTCAGCAAACTACAGCTCAACAGCTTGTTTGTGTATCAAGTTTTATTGGAACAGCCACACCTATTTGTTTACATATTGTTTATAGCTGCTTTCTACAGTGGCAGAGCTAAGTAGTCACACCAGAGACCGTAGGCCTAAAAAGGGCTATCGAGCCCATTATAGAAAAGGTTTGCTCAACCCCTGACCTAGATCTTCATCCAGTCTTTTCTGCCTTCAACGTGTAAAATATGCCACTTCCAGATTAATCTTCTATTGAAACATTTAACAAAACAGATATTGATCTCTTTTGATATAATAGGACCCAGGCATGTTAAGATAAATACATATAGCCCTATAGACAAAGTGATACTGTTGTCAACTGGAGACTACATAACTTCGTACTTATTTTTTTTTGAGATGGAGTCTCGCTCTGTCGCCCAGGCTGGAGTGCAGTGGCACCATCTCAGCTCACTGCAAGCTCCGCCTCCTGGGTTCATGCCATTCTCTCACCTCAGCCTCCCGAGTAGCTGGGATTACAGGCATGC
This sequence comes from Homo sapiens, assembly GCF_000001405.40. Taxonomy (NCBI): domain Eukaryota; kingdom Metazoa; phylum Chordata; class Mammalia; order Primates; family Hominidae; genus Homo; species Homo sapiens. Next base: position 42,461,948 of record NC_000012.12, read on the forward strand.
GCCACCACGCCTGGCTAATTTGTTGTATTTTTAGTAGAGACGGGGTTTCACTGTGTTAGCCAGGATGGTCTTGATCTCCTGACCTCGTGATCTGCCCGCCTCGGTCTCCCAAAGTGCTGGGATTACAGGTGTGAGCCACCGCGCCCGGCCCTATATAACTTCATACTTTTTAAAGGGGGCCTATTTTTCAGCTTATTATTGTCAAGGAATGTCAGCCCCTAACACTTAAATGTGTACCAAGTTATGTTTAATTCTTTTATTTATTTTTTTTGAGACAGAGTCTTGCTCTGTCACTCAGGCTGGAGTGCAGTGGTATGATCTCGGCTCACTGCAACCTCCGCCTCCCAGGTTCAAGTGATTCTCCTGCCTCAGCCTCCCGAGTAGCTGAAATTACAGGCACATGCCACCATGCCTGGCTAATTTTCGTATTTTTAGTAGAGACAGGGTTTTGCTATGTTGGCCAGGCTGGTCTCGAACTCCTGACTTCAGGTGATCCACCTGCTTTGGGCCTCCCAAAGTGCTGGGACTGCAGGTGTGAGCTACCACACCTGGCCAAATTATGTCTATTTCTGATATTAAATTTAAAACTCCTAGCACTGGGCCTGGCAGACAAAAGGTGCTTACTCAGTCTCACCCACCATTCTTCCTCAACTCCCCTTTATTGCCGGCCTTATCTTTGACAAGTCCACAGAAGCCGGGGGGGTAGCTTTGCCGTACCCTTCCTTGTCACTGCAGTGTCTGGCACAAGTTATTCCTGGCAGGAAGCAGCTACTAAGCCTTTCCTGTCTACATTACAGAAGCATTACCTTCATCAAAGGGCTGGATGTCAGTAGTTTGACTATAAAACTAGCCATGCAACAGCAACATTTCTATAATCCAAAGACTTGTTGCAAATAATTTGCATAATGTCCTAGGTTCTAGGCCTAATCTTGCCTTTAGAACCTATGTAATGTTTGGCATTTAGCCTTTTGGTAATTCAAGTTTCCTCATTTGTGAAATGCAATCATATCATCCACTCTATATAGCTCAGGGTCATTTTAAAGATAAAATGTGGATAACTGGTATGACTGTGCTTTGAAAACATTAAAGTAGGCCAGGGGCAGTGGCTCACACCTGTAATCCCAGCACTTTGGGAGGCCAAGGCAGGTGGATCACCTGAGGTCAGGAGTTTGAGACCAGCCTGTCTCACAAAAATTAGCTGGGCGTGGTGGCAGGCGCCTATAATCCCAGCTACTCATGAGGCTGAGGCAGGAGAATCGCTTAAACTCAGGAACCTGAGAGGCAGAGGTTATAGTGAGCTGATATCGCGTCATTGCACCCCAACCTGGGTGACAAGAGTGAAACTCCATCTCAAAACAAAACAAAAAACTAGGAAAAAAAAGAAAACATTACAGTAATATTTTAGAATCTAAATAAAAAGTATTCAGCTGTTTTTGAGCTACTGTCACAGGGAAATTCAGGAAGATGTTTAAAAAAAAAAATGAGCTTGTGGCCAGGCGTGGTGGCTCATGCCTATAATCCCAGCACTTTGGGAGGCTGAGGCGGGTGGATCACCTGAGGTCAGGAGTTCGAGACCAGCCTGGCCAATATGGCGAAACCCCATCTCTACTAAAAATACAAAAATTAGCCAGGTATGGTGGTATGCACCTGTAATCCCAGCTACTGGGGAGGCAGAGGCAGAAGAATCACTTGAACCCGGGAGATGGAGGTTGCAGTGAGGTGAGACTGCGCCATTGCACTCCATCCTGGGCGACAAGGGCGAAACTCCACCTCAAAAAAAAAAAGAGCTTGTAAAGTGTGTGGGCCAATTTTGGTATCTTAGAATACATACAGAATAATTCAAGCGTACAATATCTTTCAGACACAATCCAGTTGTACACTCCTTCCTCCAATCAATTTCCTTCTCTTCAAAACAGGGTAATAAAACCTATCCCTAAAGACTGCACTGTAAATATATTTTATGCACATGCACTCACCTCACACATGTGTTTGTTTTGCTAGTGTTTGGTATTTAAGTGAGGTTCCTTCCTTCCCTTGATCCATGGTTTTGAATAACACACAACTCCTACTCATGCTGAATTGCAATTTTTTTTTTTTTTGAGATGGAGTCTTGCTCTGTTGCCCAGGCTGGAGTGCAGTGGCGCAATCTTGGCTCACTACAACCTCTGCCTCCTGGGTTCAAGCAATTCTCTTGCCTCAGCCTCCCGAGTAGCTGGGATCACAGGCCCATGCCCAGCTAATTTTTGTATTTTTAGTAGAGCCGCGGTTTCGCCATGTTGCCTGGGCTGGTCTCGAACTCCTGACCTCAAATGATCTGCCCACCTCAGCCTCCCATAGTGCTGGAATTATAGGCATGAGCCACTGCGCCTGGCTTGAATTGCAATTTTTTGAATACACTTTTTAGTAGCTCCTTTTTTCAAATACCCCATAATCCCTAGATTACGTACCTGTGATATTGGACAATGCCAAAGAATCCATCGAATCCCGAACACTTTGCTCTGGTTTCAGGTCTGACAGACACTCCAGGGAATCTTCATACCACTGTGTTTCATCATGATTATACCCTGAAGCCCCATGGTCCAGTTCCAATTCCTGAAGCCTTCTACTGCTTGCAGGGCCTGGGTGGCTGCCATAAGCAGAATCGCCCAGTCCATCTTGTGACTGTGCCCAGTACATATCAGACTGGTATTTTTTACTTGCAAGGCTCTGGTTATTTTGCTTTAACTCGGTCTTACTTTTAACCATGTTATCAGATATCCAGTGCTCACTGGCTCGAATATCCATCTCATTGGGCTGTGGCTGAAAGAGGCTTTTATCACCAAACTTGAGGAGGAGCTGCGTCATATAATCTTCATGATCAGCCCATTCTTCAGGGTCTTCTGGAGTTTCCTGCTCTACTCTGCCTTTCCAAAATTCTTCACTGGCAAAACTTGTTCCTTGTCTGGAGAGACTCAGATCATCCAATTTTCGAGAAAGGGTGTCATCAGCATTGCCTGAGAGGCCAGGAAACTTGTAGTTCAGAGCAGGCGATAAGAGGAGAGACTGTCTACACTGATCTGCTGACCGGCTGCTCTTGCCCATTCGGACACTTCTTCGGGAGTCTCTTGATCGAGCTGACTGAAATGCAGAGTCGGAAGAATCAGAGGCATGGACGTCTTCACCAAGACTGCACGTTTTTGAGCAGTAAATCTGACCCTGTTTGGGAAGGAAGGGACATCCCAACAAAGAGGCTTTACACTGGGCACAAGAAAAGCAGGCTTCCGTGGCGTGCCAGTGCTGCCCGTCATAGGTCATCTGTGCATGGTCCACACCTGTTTTGAAAAGGATAGAATAAATAACAGGTTATGGTTTAATGCCTGAAACAAGGTATAAGGAAGAAACGAAGAAAATAAATAAAGATTATGGGTATGGGGGAGCTGTGTGGGTGACACAGATATAATTAATCCTCATTCTTTGTGGATTCTGTATTTGTGAGTGTGCCTACTCATAAAAATTTATTCACAACTCCCAAACTAATATTCGCAACAGTTTCATGGTCATTCGCAGATGTGCAGAGTGGTAAAAATACGAACTGAACCAACATGCACTGATCCAGGAGATGCTCAGCTTTTTGTTTCAGCTCTCATACTGTAGACAAGTGTCCTATTTCTGGTCTATCTACTGCCGCGTTTTCTGCATTTTTGTGCTCTTTGTTGGTGAGTTTACTGTTTAAAATGGCCCCCAAGTGTAATGCTGATAATGCTGAAATGCTGTCATGTTGCTAAGGGCAAGAAGGCTGTGATGTGCCTTACAGAGAAAAGACATGTATTACGTAAGCTCCTAATCTTGAGTACGGTACCACTGGCTGTGAGTTCAATATTAATGCATCAACAATGTACATTCAATAAGGCAGTGGCTTTAAGCAAAAACACACGTGAAACAAGGTTATGTATTGATGGGTTGATGAAACTGCTGTGACCAGAGGCTCACAGGAACCTAACCCTGTATTCCCCCATGAGCAATGGTTCAGTGTTCACTAATCCAGTGTTTGCAGTAACGTCACAGAACACAACTACTGCAAGTAACAAGAATCAACTCTCTGTTCATTTGTCAAAGCTCATCAGCTGGAACATTTAAGATCTGTACATTTCATTGTATGTAAATTATATCTCAACTTTAAAAAACAGAAAAAGAAAAAATAAGACTGGATAATCCAAGACAGACTAATGGCTAGGTGACAGGGCAGACGGGCTGGCTGTGGACTTACCAATATGTTCCCCACAGGTTTCACAGTACTCCGCATAGAGAGACTCAAAACAGCCACAGCAGAAGGGGCGGCCGTCCTTCATGATATACCTCTGTCCTCCCAGGACCGTTTCACACTCAAGGCAGCAGAAGTGTTTCATGTGCCAATGGCGACCCTCAGCTTCTGTGCACTCATCAGCAAAAATTATCTTCAAAAAGAAATGTGAAACCAGAGAATGAAAGAAAATCATTAGGAACTATTTTAAAGGCCAAGTAACTGCATGTTTTCCGGGCAATGGACAGACACTGGCTCTTAAAAAAATCAGATAGCTAACCTTGTTTCTTAGAGTCACAAGCTTAAATCTAACACTTGATTTAGCTACAAACTAGAGCATAAATTGACAGTGCTGAGAAAACAAACTAAATAATAAATGCTTGCTTTGACTTTAAAAAAACAGAATTCTACACCGGAGGTAATTCATTTGGTCATATTTTTGCTCCCCAATAACATTTTCTTGGCATAATCTGGCAAAGAACACATTAACACGGAAATAATTTAGTGAAATAATTTGGTGTTTTAGTAGAAAGAAAACTCATAAAAATGTCTGTGGACTCAACACAGTTATAGCTACACAGATGCTGGAATTGAGTGAACAGCATTTGTGTTGATAATGCTTTATTTGACTTGGTGGCCATCTCTAGATTAAGGACTCTTTATTTTTTTGAGACAGGGTCTCACTTGTAGCCCAGGCTGGAGCACAGTGGCACAATCATAGCTCACTGCAGCCTCAAACTCCTGGGCTTGAGCGATCCTCCCACCTCTGCCTTCTGAGTAGCTGGGACCACAAGGGCACAACCACCATGCCCAGCTAATTTGAAAAACATTTTGGGACAGAGACGGGGTCTCACCATGGGGTCTAGTCTGGTTCTTTTTTTATTTTTATTTTTATTTTTTATTTTTTTGAGACAGAGTCTCGCTCTGTCACCACGCTGGAGTGCAATGGCGTGACCTCGGCTCACTGCAACCTCCGCCTCCTGGGGTTCAAGCAATTCTCCTGCCTCAGCCTCCTGAGTAGCTGGGACTAAAGGTGCATGCCACCATGCCCAGCTAATTTTTGTATTTTCAGTAGAGACGGGGTTTCACCATGTTTGCCAGGATGGTCTCTGTCTCTTGACCTCGTGATCTGCCCATCTCGGCCTCCCAAAGTGCTGGGATTACAGGCGTGAGCCACCGAGCCCGGCAGGTTCTTTCATTTTTTTTATATTTTTGGTTTCCAAAATATGTTCAGCGGAGCATGGTGGCTCACCCTGGTATTCCCAGCATTTTGGGAGGCTGAGGGAGGTGAATCTCTTGGGGTCAGGAATTCGAGACCAGCCTGGCCAACATGGTGAAGCCCGCCTCTACTAAAAATACAAAAAAAAAAATTAGCTGGGCGTGGTGGTGGGCACCTGCAATCCCAGCTACTCGGGGGGCTGAGGTGCAAGAATCACTTGAACACGCGGGGCGGAGGTTGCAGTGAGCCAAGATTGCACCACGGCACTCCAGCCTGGGCAACAGAGAGCAACTCCATCCCAAAAAAATAAATCAAAACAAAACAAAAACAAAAATATGTTCAAATAGAACATTGTTGAAAAAAATGTATAAAGTAAATGAATGTATAAAAATAAAAACAAAGTTTATTGTCATAGATTGAAGGAGACTAAGAAGATACAACGAGTAAATGCAATGAAGCACCCTGGATTGATCTTGGATAAGAAAAGGAGCATCTGTTAAAACACTGGGAAAATCTAAACAAAGACTATGGTTTAGTTAATGGTATTACACTGCTGATAATTTCTTAGTTTTGATACATATATTATGGTTATGTAAGACGTTAGTGTCAGGGGAAGCTGGGAGAAGGGCATGCAGGATCTCTCTGTAATAGCTTTGCAACTCTTCTGTAAATCTAAAATTATTTTAAAATAAAAAGCTAAAGGGAAAAAATTTTTCCTTTCAAGCCATCATCCATTCCCACCTTCCCCGAGGGTAACTACTATTAATTTGGTATTTGTCTTTCCATACCTTTTCTGAGCATAAACAAATACATATATCATATTGTTTTTTAAATTCTTAACAAAAATGAGACCATCTACTACATGCTCTTCTGCAGCTTGTATTTTCTCACAACCCACTGAAGACATAATACTTATCAAAGTACAAAGACATCTGCTTCCCTTTCTATCAGGAAGGTGAAAAATTAATTGCGGTTTTGACCATTATGGCAAAAAACCGCAATTACTTTTGCAGCAACCAAATATAGATCATTTCATTGTATGAATGTACAGGATTATGTTTAAAACATGCACACAGAACAAAATCCAGGAAATTTTAGTATTTTGCTTGATGTAAACAGTGGAATATTGGCTTAATCTAAGCTTATTTTTCCCAGTGTGAAAGGATGAACTTTTTTTTACCTCGTCACATGCTGAGCACCGTGGTTTGAGCAGTTCTGCATGGTGCCTGCCACAGTGAATTTTTCCATCCTGATAAAAATAGATGAGGTCGACCAGCAGCTCATTACACGTGAAACAGACAAAACAGGATGGGTGCCAGCACACACCAGGGCCCGCACGGGAGGCGAACACTGCAACTTCACCTCCATTTATCTTCAAACCACACTACAAACAAATGGGTTTGAATGTAAAAGGATCATTTTTTAAAGACAGGATTCTCAGGCTTTCCTACTTTAGGATAAATCTCGAATTTGTCAGGAATGTATTTATTTTTGCTACCTCTTTTAGTGATTAAATAGCTCTTTAATGCTGGATTACTGGTGATTCTCCACTGTAAGGCACGTGTCTCAGACATACTACAACTATTTCTAAGGACGGTGTAATCTGATTCACACAAATAGTGGTTTTCCTGTGCCAGCCTCCTGCTGGATACATTTCCTACTCTGAGAACTGCCAGCAAAGATCTGAATGTCTTCATTATGTTTCTGCATCTTTTGAATACGAGATGTATCCTAGCACCTACCTCCATGCCAGGATCCTACCAAAGGCAGGATTTCACCCAATGTTTGCATAAGGGTGACTGACTCCTGCTGTCATACACAGCAGTGTAGCTAGTTACAAATATGAAACATGATTTGCTATTTAATAAAAAGCTAGGCTGTCTTTCTCTCATTTTCTGGAGGCTTTCAGGACCCACACCTCTGCTAGTCCAGTCACCTACCCCCGACTGTCCACCCCATCCACATCACTGCCACAAGCTACGCATCAGAGAAGGGGCTGCTCACCTGCTCACACACAGCATGCATGACTGCTCTGGACAGAAGCTTAATTGTTCCTCTTCCCAGTGCTTCTTTCTTCCGCTGAGCACTGAACACCTGCAACTCTTTTTTCTCCTCTTCACTCAAAGACTGGCAATACCGTACCTTCACAGAAAGCAAAACAGAAACACCACACTGAGTGCACAGTCTTTCTCACCAGTTCTCTACTTCCAGAGTTAGGGTTTCAGGAAGTGAAACAGTAAGTTTAGCTCGCCTGTGTCACACCCCCACGATTTTAAAATGACACCATATCTGAATTTTACAGCCTCTCTAGAAAAAGGGAAATGCAATGTGAAGGAATACTTTTTTTTTAAATAAGAAATGTTTAATTGAAAACCCTTATCAACACAGAATTAAAAAATATATATAGGACATTAACCTTTCCACAAAAGGTTTAAACTTGTTAATTGCCACTTTTACTCTCCATTCTACATGCACTCAACTCAACTGCAGGCCTGAATGACCATAAAGCATTCACTCTGGATGCAGGGGCTGGGAAATCTCAGGAATTTGTAGGTTCCTGATCATTGGTGGGTGGCTGCAAACACTATAAAAACCAACTTGTGTTAAGTTTATTACACTGATACTCTTTTCTCTCTTTCTCTCAAAGAATGGAAAGCTGTATTCTCTGGCCAAATTTTAACTAAAGAAAGGCAAAAGGGAGCCCTCGCCAGTGAGGAGTTGGGGTTTATGAGCAGCATCTCAATGCTTCTCATGCATTTTTTCTTCTTTTTTCTAATTAGCCTTCTTCCTGCTATTTTACCTCATTATCATGTGGTGGTAACTGGTACAAAAGCTGTTTAATCCGATGCTTCTCTCCGGGGCTGTTAACGTAAGGAACTTTTTCCTCTGGTAAGCAAGCAAAATAGAGCTGGATCTGCAAAAGAGACAGTGAGAATGGCATCAACATACAGAACTGAGCATCTCAGCTCACTTAATCTTTAAAAGTTACCTTTCCCTAGGTACAGGGTTTGGCCTCTTGTAGCTAATGAGAAGACCAGCTGAGCCAACTCAGCAGAACTGCAAACCTTCAGATAACTAGCACCCAGCTGCTAAATTGCTCTTCAGGAATGTAATTTGTAGTGACAATTAGGGACATCATAAATTATGCACCATAAAATATGCACATTTAAGACCACTCTTCCCGGTGGTGTGGCTCACGCCTGTAATCCCAGCACTCTGGGAGGCTGAGGCTGGTGGATCACCTGAGGTCAGGAGTTCGAGACCAGCCTGACCAACACGGTGAAACCCTGTCTCTACTAAAACTACAAAAATTAGCTGGGCGTGGTGATGCACGCCTGTAATCCTAGCTACTCGGGAGGCTGAGGCAGGAGAATCGCTTGAACCTGGGAGGCAGAGGTTGCAGTCACCCAAGATCGCGCCACTGCACTCCAGCCTGAGTGACAGAGCAAGAATCCGTCTCAAAAAAAAAAAAAAGACTACTCCTCCTCAGCCAGTCTTCCAAGGGGTCAGACAAGAGATCAGCAAGAGAGAGAGTCCTGGGTGAATCCTGCAAATTACTACACAGACTGTGTGAAATGGTCCAAAATCCAGCCACTACACGAACACATTTAATTTGCTCTCTGAATTTTACACAACACAAAGACAAAGGCTGTTTTGCTAAATGTTGTAAACTCTTCTTTATCAGGTTCTCTCAAACATCAGCTTTCTTTGCTTCCATGAGTGCTATTTTCTGAATACCTGAAGTCAGCCTCCCCAGGCAAACTGGAGAGAAGCCACATTGAGCTGTACTTTGCTCACTCTGAAAGGAAAACTTAATTTCTGCTTGTTTGTTTTTCTGATGTCTTTAAAGGAACATCCCTTAATGAGTACTGCAAAGGATACTGCAGAGCTGAGAAGGAATAAAAGAAAAAAAAGACAGGAGACAGGAATTTAGGGCCTGTCTACTTCAATACCTTAGTACCACACAAAACCTACCCACTCTAAGTTGTAAGAAGGGATTCTCTCTAAGTAGTTTGTCAAAATATTGCTTTTCTAACTGCTTCACCAGCACTCCACCCTCTCCCCATTCTATCAGCTCTAGAAGCTTTTTACAGTTATAAACACTTACTGAATATCAGCTACATGCGTGCCAGGTACTGTGCTATGCCATGGATAAATAAGGATACCCTATTCTCATAAAACGTCCCACCCTACAGGAAACAGAACCCTAACATCAGAAGCAAAGCAACCACATACCCCACTGTCAACTTTATTTTCAAATGATGCCTCTGCTCTTTTAATAATATCGCCAGTGATTTTCAACAAGTTAATCATTGTAAAGATATTGGGAAAATTAAATAGGCATATGGAATGTTCTCATCTTCCCTAAAATAACAATACAAACAAAGCATAAAATTAACTCTTTAATTTTTTTTCCAATCCCTGTGGTGTAAGTGACAGGCTCTTTTATATGCAAAGTTATCAAAGGTCAAACGTCTAAGCAGTAACACTTCAGAGGGTTTCTGATAGCTCACTATCTCGCTTCCAAAGCAAAAGCATTGCTGAGAACTGGCATGGAAACTTTTCTCTTTTCTTTTATTGCCTTTTTGTTGTCACAGAAGTTTTTTAAAAGGGAAATTCCTCTCACTCTCAAGAGGGATTCATCCGAAATACACATAACCAATGCATATGTAGTACTCTGGATTTCATTCATTAGAGCAAAAATGGGATCCTTATGAGGCTTCTGGAACCATGGGTACGACGAGATTGGAAACTTCCATTGAGAAACTAAATATGACCTTCAAAAGTAAAACTTCAAAGCCATACAAAGAAGAATAAGGACTGAGGAGGGTGGTATTCCAGCATCTCAGTGATGTTCTATCCATTTACAAAATAATGTTCTAAAGTCTGAACTCACACTGAAAAACAAAGAGTAAATATAGGATGATGAAGTTCCTACCTGCTCTGGTCTCAGGCCCGGGGGGACCCAGGCGTACTCCTCCAATGCACAGCCAGAGTCATCATCTGATGTGGAACTTCTCTGACAGCCAAAGGCCAGTTTGCTCATCTTGGGCTCCATCTCCAAAGGCATAAAGTTTAAAGCCTGGTTTCTCAGTCACAGGACATCAAACAATGGCTGCTGTGAACAATATAAGAAAAAACAAAGACATCTAAAACCTGAATGCATTTCTCTTACCCCCGACCCAGAGCTTTTATTGAATGCTGTTAACAGACAGCTGGGCCCAGAGAAAGTAACCAAATTACTACTGTCACCACCCCCAGGCCCCAGGCCCCCTGAAATTTAAAATTTAGAGCTATATAATTTGGTAGTAGTCTCTTTGCCAGCTCAGAATTTCAGAACATGCCACCAAAGCTAGTTTATTTCCAGGAGCCTTTAAAAGGTGCCTCTCTACAGTCGATTCCTTAGAAAAGTTCTCAAGAAAGTTGATGTGTTGACTTTCTAACTTGCCCACAAATCCTTGTGACATACTGTAAGTTGTAGAAAGAAGTGTCGGGGTCAGGCTACCTGCCTTGCCCACTACTATGCCCCAGGAAAAATGGCTCAAGACCCCACTCGGCACCCCTGTATTTCCTAAGCAATTTTTCCAACTGAGGCAGTGCTGCCTCCTGAGAGTGGGTCCACTCAGCCAAACTGCTTAGGTTTCAGATTTCTAATTATGTTTTGTAAGACACTAAACTGAGTTTACACACAAAATAGAAATAGCACAATTAAATCCTTATACTGCACATTAAATCCTCAAGCCTTTACTAAGGGCTAAAGTCAGTCAGACATTCATCAGTGAGTTCCTTCAACAAACAGTCACTGAATACAGTACTATGTGAAAATAAAATCCAGCTTGGTGACTGTTAATGTTTAATTGCATCATAAGCAGGCATTCGCTGAAAAGTTATGCAGTCAGTGCCTAGTATGTGTGAAATGTCATCAGCCTGCTATGGGCAGAGTAAGATGTAAATCCTCCTCTGAATAAAAAGCCTCCTTGGATGAAGGGCTATAAAAGTGTCAAGACAACATTCCCTGCCCTAGAACCCAGGAACTTTGCTATCACCATTTATGTTCTTTGTATCTTCTGATTATTAAAATCATCCCTCATCCCAGGGCACAAAGAAAAAAATAATAATAGCAGAACTTTCAGAACCAGATGGAGAGATGGAGCTTTTTTATACCTGGGCCTTTCACCCACAAAAAAATGATGTAAAGAAAGAAAATTATAGATAATTATCCCGACCCAATGATTTTAGAGAAAACAAGATTCAGGAAAGTCAAGAGACTTGTCCAAGGTCATATGGCTAAAAGCCAGAGTCTAGTCACACATACACACTGACATGTCAGACTTCCAAAAATTCTTCTGCCTCAATAAACATTCTTCCATCTCAGGAAGGATGTCAAAAAAAAAAAAAAAGTTCTCATTTGCTTAAACAAGTGTAAAAGGCAGTGAAAAGCCATACACTTTCAGCCTGAGACTAAGTCATTTTTCAGTGACTATCTCAATTCAACTCTAAATACTGAGTGTTGGAAAATACTACCTATTAAAACCTTTGATTATTGGCCGGGCGTGGTAGCTCACACCTGTAATCCCAGCACTTTGGGAGGCTGAGGCAGATGGATCACAAGGTCAGGAGTTTGAGCTCAGCCTGGCCAACATGGTGAAACCCCGTCTCTACTAAAAACACAAAAATTAGCCAGGCGTGGTGGTGGGTGCCTGTAATCCCAGCTACTCGGGAGGCTGAGGCAGGAGAATCGCTTGAAACCGGGAGGCGGAGGTTGCAGTGAGCTGAGATTGCACCCCTGGACTCCAGCCTGGGCGACAGAGCGAGACTCCGTCTCGAAAAAAATAAAATAAAATAAAACTTGATTAAAATTTATGGTTTTTCTTTTATAAATGATAGGACATTGAGAAAATTAACATTGTAACAGTTCATAAATGAAGGGCAAGCACCTCATAGCTACAATCTTTATTAGCAGTAGGAGCAATGCCACACATATATTATTCCAACTAATAAATTTAACTTTCATTCACCCTGAACAAGAAGTGAAGATGACCTCATTTCCTACACTACCATTGGGAGGTTATGACCTTTTAAACAAGGCATCATTTCACACAGGTGCGACTCATTCATGTCTTGACTAAGGAAAGGCTTTCTAAACATAGGCGTATTCCTCTGACTCCTCAATAAAAAAGGATGTGTTAATGAGTCAGAAAATGTCTTGGATATTTTGAAAAAACCACTCCCACATGTCAAAGGAAGAGAACCAGAGGTTAAGAATTTAATTAGTAACTCTAAAACTCCTACCAGGAGAATGAGTGCCTTCAATGAAATTTAACCCAAATCATGAAATATGAACATCTGCCCCCTGCTAAATCAGGCTAAGCAGGGAGACACTAAGGTATTTGCTCTGCAGATTTACAAAGAACATAAATATTAAATAGAACCTAAAAATTAAATGTCACTGGATTATAAAACAAGAGAAAACATCACAAATTAAGACAAGCCATGGATTTTCCAAGCCAGCACAAAGATACAGATTGCCGAAGATGTGAATTACTTTTACAGCTGTACTCCCTGATTAGCCTTTTTGTGAAAAATGTGCAGTAAATTACTATCCTAATCAAGGTAAATCAACGTTAGCACTACATGCCACCATCCCACCATCCCCTCCTCCCAATCACCTGGAAGTTCTGGCCACATCTCAATCTTACAATTCCCACAAGTTCATTCCAGCCTTTCAACAAATTACACTGAGGATTGACTGTCATTCATGCACAAAGTAAAGAGTCCAACTGAAGGACATGAGTGACAATACCCTTTTCATTACAGGCATGGCTTTCTGTTTCATTTTTTAGCAGATGGCTAACTTACTTCTCCATGCCTGGCTGGTACCATTAGTGTTACGGCATTTAATCACTGCATCAAGCAACCCACGGTAAGTGGTGTCTCATTTAACAGATGGGGAAACTGGGCCTCAGAGCAATGTCCCTCAGGGTCAATTGCCCAAGGTCAGTAAGTGGTCTTAGGACCGGTCTTGGCTGTGATCCTAAACCCCTGCAACCCCACACTGCCTCCAGGGGGGGAGTGCTGATGGAGCCAATTCCTTTTTCTTTGGTGAATCAGCCAAGCTACCTGCGCTGCAGACACACAAAATGACACAACTGGAAGGTAGTCCACTTTACCCACGGAAGGCATTTTAAGGATATACAGTCAAAAAGGATTGTAAAAATTCAATGGCCTCATGAGCACTTGGTTCAGAGTTTATTCACTGACGAAAGTTTTTCTTTTTCCTTTATATCAGAGAATACTTAAAATGACAAAACCATTCACTCGCAAGTTCTCAGAGCTCATCAAAACACAAACATTAAAAAAATGTTGGCTGGGTGCAGTCGCTCACACCTGTAATCCCAGCATTTGGGAGGCTGGGGGGGGGCGGGGGCAGACCACCTGAGGTCAGGAGTTCAAGACCAGCATGGCCAACCTAGTGAAACCCCAAATCTACTAAAAATATAAAAGTCAGCTGGGCGTGGTGGTATGTCCCTGTAATATCAGCTACTCAGGAGGCTGAGGGAGGAGAATTGCTTGAACCGGAAGTTGCAGTGAGCCAAGATCGCACCATTGCACTCCAGCCTGGGTGACAAGAGCAAAACTCCGTCTCAAAAAAAAAAAAAAAAAAAGTTATATGGCATGGCCTCCACTGGGACCAGGCTGTGCTAAGAGTTGCTACATCATCACTAGCAACTTCTTTTTTCTTTTTTCTTTTTTTTTTTTGAGTTTTGCTCTTGTTACCCAGGCTGGAATGCAATGGCGCCATCTTGGCTCACCGCAACCTCTGCCTCCCAGGTTCAAGAGATTCTCCTGCCTCAGTCTCCCAAGTAGCTGGGATTACAGGCATGTGCCACCACACCCAGCTAATTTCATATTTTTAGTAGAGACGGGGTTTCTCCATGTTGGTCAGGCTGGTCTTGAACTCCTGACCTTAGGTGATCTGCCCACTTCGGCCTCTCAAAGTGCTGGGATTACAGGCGTGAGCCACTGCACCTGGCTAATTTTGTATTTTTAGTAGAGACGGGGTTTCTCCATGTTGGTCAGACTGGTCTCAAACTCCTGACCTCAGGGGATCTGCCCGCTTTGGCCTCCCAAAGTGCTGGGATTACAGGCGTGAGCCACGGCACCTGGCTTCTAGCAACTTATTTACCTGATAACACGAAAACTTCAATTTAGATTTTTCTTTTTCCTATTTATCTGTCACCCAGGCTGGAGTGCAGTGGCACAATCATGGCTTATTGCAGCCTGTCTACCTCCCAGGTCCAAACAATCCTCCTACCTCAGCTTCCCAAGTAGGTGGGACCACGGGCATGTGCCACCACACCAAAGTTTTTTGTTTTTGTTTTTTGTAGAGATGGGGTCTCCCTATGTTGCCCAGGCTGGTCTCAAACTCCTGGACTCAAAATATCCTCCTGCCTCGGCCTCCCAAAGTGCTGGGATTACAGGCGTGAGCCATGGCACCTGACTTCTTTCTTATTTTTAAAGATTGCTTGTACTTGCCAAGAGATCCTGAGAGTCTATTCTTAAGTATATCAGTCGGGTAAAGCAGTGGCAGCTAAACACAGTTCTTACGCTTGTAAAAAGTTACACTAAAAATTATAAAGACGTGGCCAGGCGCAGTAGCTCACGCATGTAATCCCAGCACTTTGGGAGGCCAAGGCGGGTGGATCACCTGAGGTTGGGAGTTTGAGACCAACCTGACCAACATGGAGAAACCCCGTCTCTACTAAAAATACAAAATTATCCAGGTGTGGTGGTGCACACCTGTAATCCCAGCTACTCGAGAGGCTGAGGCAGGAGAATCACTTGAAGCCAGGAGGCAGAGGTTGCGGTGAGCCGAGATCACACCATTGCACTCTAGCCTGGGCAACAAGAGCAAAACTCTGTCTCAAAACAAAACAAAACAAAATATATATATATACACATATTATATATATGTATATACATATGTATATATGTGTATATATGTATATACGTATATATGTGTGTGTGTGTGTGTGTATATATATATATATATATATATATATATATATATATATATATATATATATGACCTCACAAATAACCCTTCCTTAGGCATTTAAAACACTATATGGTATTTACTTTTGTAGCACAGAAGGAAGAAGGGAGCCTGGCCATTCCTTCTGCTCTGGGTCATGGCTGAAGGTCTTCCTGAGGATACCTAACCATGGTTGAATGTGGTCTGCCAAAACATCATGCTTTAAGCCAAGCATATGAGACCACAGGTAAATCAGACCTAATAGAAAAATTCTAATAACTTTATTTTCAGGTATTGTCTCTTAAGGTTGATCACATGAAACGGGCAGAATCAGGTTTAAAAGTAGGCTGCATTATAATGGAAATAGAACTATTCAAAGTTGGGGTTATGACAGAGTAAAACTTTTTTTATGATGCTTCTTTTTTCTTTTGTAGAACCATGCTTAGATGAACTAACAGTGGCCCTGCCCTATACTTTTTTTTTTTTTTTTTTGGTACAATTTTATTTGGACGTTACTTTAAACTTCCAAAAAGTTGCAATAGTAAAAGAACTCTGATGCATCCCTTACCCAGACTCATCAATGGTTTACATTTTGCTCCATTTGCTTTTGCATCATCATCCTCCCTCCCTCTCCCTCTTTCTCTCTCATATGTATACACACTTCTGTGGGATCCATTTGAGAGTGTATTTTTTTACATTCTTTTACCTAACCACAGCTCAAAACATCAGTATTCTTGACTATTCTAAGGCAGATTTATTGTCTTGGTCTTAAAATGCTGTAGCAAACTTAATCATAAATGAATGTCAACTATGCATTAACCAATCCTGTGCTAAGTTTGGAAATAAATCAATAGGCATCCTATTTCTCCAGTGTCTCTCTATAATTTTGAATGTAAATAAACCTCATAATGAAGGAGAAAGAAAAGCAAAACAGTTTTCAGAGATGGGTTTGTTCAGGTTCCAAATAGTCTGACCATTAAGGAGGTGTGTGGAGGGCACAAAACCTTTTAACAGCTACCACCACCATCAAAGATGGCATTGGGAGGGGGTGGTCAAGCACAAGGAACTGCTGTTAGAACTTAATTCTCTAGCAGGTTCATGAGTTCTTTGCAGACACTATTTTGAAAACTAAAAGCCTACTATCAGAGTCAAGTAGAGAAATAAATGTCAAACAGAAAAGAAGGGTATGGTCACAAGGGAGGTGAGAAAGAAGCCCAAGGTCATGTAGAGAGAGCTGGGATACTCTTTTTTTTTTTTTTTAGAAAGGCAAGGAATATCATGGGGCTATTCCATGCAATAGAAAATGGAACAGTTCCATTTCCCTCCTTTGTCCTTTCTCTCGCCTCTTCCTTCAAAATAGTTAAATAGCTATTTCTCATCATTAAAAACAAAGACAAGCAGCTAACAGATGTAAGACTTCTCAATCATCATTGTCAAGAGAACATCTGACCCAAAGGATAAGGGCTATACTTAGGGAATGGAATCTGATGCTCTCAGCATTCAGTAAACTTGGTCCTGATGTCTTCAAAGCTTTGACAAGTCAACAAACATCTTGAGACCTGATTTTAAAAAATAGCCACTATTTGCCTTCCAAAGATGGTCTAAGGATGTTTTAAAACAGAAAAGAATTTCACGACCATAAAGAATTAAAGCTCCTATTGCAACGTACCAATTGGCATTGCTGCTTCCACTGGGACTAAACAGACTTTCTTGAAGCTAACCAGTGACAAATGGAATTGAAACAATATGTTAATAACAAAACCTGAGTTTCATCTTCTTTTTGAGCTTGCGAGAGCTCTAGCCTTCTGAACGGCAGACAATTTTGCCAAGTTATTGACCAACGTTTCCAGCTGCTTCGGTAGCAGCTTCTAACCAGTCCCCACATAAAGCCTCCAATACCATACACATAGCGTGTGTGCGTGCACACATTCGCACACAGCATGTGTAGTGGTCTATGGAGCATGACAGTTTTTCTAGGTAAAGCTTGTTCCCCAAATTCAAGTATGGCCTTATTCATATAACACAGTGATATAATGAGGGGTTCCTTTGTGAAATTTACTTTCTAGGTTCATTCACTGCATTCATTCATTCATCCTTATATTTAAAGTTGTTATTGAACGGTTCTGGGGAATGCCAAAAGGAGCCAACTGACATTTATTCCATTAAAAGCCAGAACTTAGAAAGAAATGTAGCCACCGGGTGCAGTGGCTCATGCCTGTAATCCCAGCACTATAGAGGCTAAGGTGGGTGGATTACTTGAGGTCAGGAGTTCGAGACCAGCCTGATCAACATGGTGAAACCCCATCTCTACTAAAAATACAAAATTAGCCGGGCATGGTGGCGCATGTCTGTAATCCCAGTACTTGGGAGGCTGAGGCAGGAGAATTGCTTGAACCTGGGAGGCAGAGGCTGCAGTGAACCAAGATCATGCCATTGCACTCCAGCCTGGGCAACAAGAGCGAAACTCCATCTTAAAAAAAAAAAAAATTCCATTATTCATCTCCTTGCTTTCTTTCGTGGTGGCACGTGTAAAAATTATATGTGATTTAGCCTTCGGCTGATCATTTGTTTTCATTTTGAGCACAGTAGAAAACACTGGCTTCGGGATTCAAGAAACAGAATGGCCCCTGACCCATACATTTATGATAACTAGCAAACTTTTTGTAGGTTTTTTTCTCCCTGCTCTCATAATGTTTTGATCCCTGCTACCTGTCTCTTATTAAGGTGCCTTTCTCTTTTGCCCACAGCCAACAACCTCCAAACCTTTCAAAATTTGTTGCTTCCGGTATTAGGCAACCATTCTTTGAAAAAGTTTGTCTAAAAGTACACAGAAGCTGGGCATATGCCTATACTCTCAGCTACCTGGTGGCTGAAGTGGGAGGATTGCTTGAGCCCAGGAGTTTGAGACCAGCCTGGGCAATACAGCAAGACCCTGTCCCAAAAAAAAATCTATGTAGTAATTATGGCATGGACAAGGGCTTAAGGACTTCTCCTATAAGCACAGTAACCACTGGTGAAATAAGATAGCATACAGTGTGAGAAGGTGTTATTCAAACTAAAGAGAAGGTTTATTATTTCGTTATGCTATTTTGGCCACTTGGGGATCATTTCATTTTCTACTGGTCTGTATGCTGCTTCCAGGATAGCTAAGGATTATTATCTTGATTGACCTTGACATATACATAAATGAGCCATAACTATGTTTCTGTAAAGAGCTTAATAAGTCAGCACAGTATATGAAGGTCCAGAGGCAGTGAAGAGTGGACGGTTTTGCTAGAAGACAGATTCTTCCAAAGAAGCAACAACAGATGGCAATGGTGTCTGAATCCTATTTTCAAGAATTACACATTTCAGGCAGAAAACTGTGGGCTTATCACTACAGGCAATGGGAAGCTGCAAAAGACATGAATGGAGACTGCCACAAGATACTTCTGGGTCTTAAAGAAGATTAATATGGTAGTGATGGTCAGGAAAAAGATAAAGAACCTGAGAGGGGCCAATTAGTACACTGTCCCTAAGAAAGCTTACACATAGTGACTTGGGGAGGGAAAGTAAAAGGAACTAATAGGAAAGGAAGAAATTGGGCCAAAGACAGTTTTGAGTATTAGGTGATTGACATACCAATACATAAGTACCTTAGGGCAACTCAGAAGGGGAGTGAGGATTTGAGGGATTTCAGGAGAATGAGTTTAATCAGATACATATTGAGGTTGTAACTGTATATCAGGTCTGGTATGATTCCTATTATTCATAATTTTCTTGAACCAAGTCACCAAATCAAAATCATGCAAATAGAAAACAGTAATTGTCAGGGCCTGCCATTGAAAATGAAGTATAAGGTCATATCCCTAATTACATTTTTTTCTCCAATGCAATCCCACTCTAGTTCCTATATGAAGACTACCATGGCATTGTAAGATCCCTATGAAAAAGTATTTCTTGTGTGAACATGCCCAGGGAAGTTAGAAATCCTCTGATCACCAAAAGCCAGAACAGATACTGATTTGTGAAGTCAGTTAGGCCAACATTCCCTAGGTGTCCCCTGCTGCTAAGTGCCATCCGTGGGCTACAAACTGCTTAACAGCTTCTTTGTTAAACTGCTTGTTAACAAGGCCTTAGTGCATGGAAGATGCAGATCACAGGTTCTCCATTCAAAAGCTACTCCAATTCTCCCAGACTACATATGCAGGTGAATTAAATTTAACTACAGACTAATTTAGCAGTACAGAAACATGTCACACATCCATTCTTTTCACAATACAAAATATACCACCCTTATGGATATACACATTTCCTTGTTTAGGATGTCCTTAACTTCAATCGAGATGTGAATTTTCCAGTAAAAGAGACACTAAACTGTCATTTCTTTAAAGGTTTCACACACTCAAGGGGCATTCAGTGCTTACTGTCTACTAAAGACAAAGTCACTGCCAACAAAGCCCAATTCAATTTCACTTATTTGAAAAATAAAAACATAATGAAGTTATCAGGAGATATTGTTTATGAAACATTCCTTTACTAAGTTTTCCATACGAGCAATTAGTGGCATTAGGCCATATGCCCTTTAGTATTTTCTGTATTTTCCAGGTAAACCTCCGTCCAGCATTTTCGAGGTAAACCTCCATCCAGCTTGTACATTTCCCAACAGCTGAGTGGGCTATCACACATCACCCAATGGTCAAGAAACTATCCATTTTTCCAAGAGGAAATGTGGAACTCTTTCAAAGCATTCTAATTTCATGCACAAGTACATTCCATGACAGTAAGAAACAAAAGGAGGAAACATGACGACAAAGCCTGGTCCTCCGCCAGCGCGGCGCTTCTAGGGTCAGATTATCCGCACACGAGTATGTAAAGACAAAATCCAAAATGCATGCCATGGAATGAGGGGCACCACACAAGGCGGTGCTCTAATGAGCCCATTATTTTCCATAATGGGGGATGCAGATATTTTCTCAAAATCGTGTTCTCCTCAGTCTTCTATTGATTTTTTGGATTTCTATTTTCAACAGTGGCCCGAGGAAACGGCAGCCAGACTTGACTCCAATGTACACACAGACTCAGGTTTCGCCCCGTCACCTGTTGGCTCCTGAACAACACTCCTCTTTGTGAAACTTACAGCACCCATTTGAAACAAGTTTCCAGAGAAAACACTTCAAGAAAGTGTTTGAGAAGTCACAAGACTCGAGTTGTAAAAACAAATTCCACACATAGCCTGGCTTATAAGGACACAGACTAACGGGAAAGGCCGAGCTTTTAAAAATGGGGCTGGAGGAAGCGAGAAGGAAAGGATGTCACCGTACTTTGGGAAAACTCAGCCGGCCAATTCTTGATGGGGCTGCCAGTGATGGCTGCAGGGGGTCCCCTGGGTCGTCCCCATCCCCGCCGCCGCAGCAGCAGAGACGCCTCAGAGCGGGCGTCGGCGCCCCCTGGGCCCCGCAAACTCTGCGCTCCAGGCGGCGGCCGCTGCTTAGGCCGCGAGGGGGCGCCCTGGGCCGTGGGTCGACCGGCTCCAGCCCCTCTCTGCGTCCCCGGCCCCAGGAGCCAGAGGCCGAGCTCAGGACGCAGAGGCAGCGAGCGAACCCCTCCTCGGCGCCGACGCGAAGCCCCGAGAGAACAGTGCCCCTTGTCCTCCAGCATAGAACAGTCGCCTTCGAATTCCCCGTTACCCTCCTCCAGCAGAAAGCCTCGCGCCGCTCTTGGCGCCGTGTCACCTCCACGGAGCAGCACTCGCCCTGCGGCTGGACGGTGGGGCCGAGCAGCCACGGGTCCCCACGTCTGTCCCTCAGCTTCCAACGAGAAGCCCCTCGCCGGCGCGCACCCTGCAGCCCTCCCGCGTTCAGTCCCCGCCGCCGGCTGCCATCCAGCCCTGGGACCCAGACAGCGGCTCCCACCTGCGGCCCGGACAGCGGCCGAGCGCGGCCTGCAGCCCCTCGCGGCGCCGGCCCCTGAGCCCTCGGCGCGCACTAGCCGCCCGCCCGCTCTGCGTCTGAAGGAGGCTGGCGGCCCGGAGCGGGAGCGGAGGACTCCCGAAGGAACAGAGGGCTGGGTGCCCTACGAGTCACCCGCACCCACTCATTTCCGGAGGAGACCCCAGCAGGGTGGGGCAGCAAGCACCGGGTCCCCACTACATTGCAGCGGACCGCGCCCCCGGGTCGCGTCCCGGTGCTGGCCCCGCCTGGCGGGCGAGGGGTCGCCCCCGCCCCGCCGTGACGCACTTTCCCCCCCGGCCGGTCCCCGCCGAGCTCCCTGGCGGCGCAGCGCGGCGATCCTCACCCGCTGCAGCCCCTCAGCAGCCGTGAGGCATCCCACAAAAGGTCCTCCAGCTCCGCAGAGACCCTCGGTCCCTGCCGGCGTGACGGACTCTGCTCCCCCGGGTTGGAGTCACCTCGTCCAGGCCACTGCATCCCCCAAGCCCCAGCTCCGCGTCCTTCCAGGATCCTCCTCTGCGGGGAGAAAAACTCGTCTCCGCTCAGCGCCGGGAGCCCGCCTGGGGCCGGCGATCTTCAAAAGTAATCAGAGCCCGCAGTAAAAAAAAAAAAAAAAAAAAAAAAAAAAAAAAAAAAAGTAACCATTTCGTTTCCTGCCGATCCCGCCCTTCGATCCCAGCCGGACCCAGCTCCCCGCTCCCGCCCGCGGGCGGCGCCTGCCCAGCCTGCTCCCGCCGCCGCCCGCTTTCCAGGAACTGTCACTGCTGACCGTGCCCCTGGCCGATCTCCACGAGGTCCCGCGCGCACAATTCCTCGAAAAGTTACCCACCCCCTTGGCCAGCCTAGCGGCTCGAGCACCTACCGCCGCCCGCCCGCTCCATTCTCCCGAGCCCAGTGAGTGAAGCCGCTAAGATGCAAATACCCTAGGACGCTTATGTAAACTTCCCCCTCCCGCAGGTGCACGCGCGGGCCACGAAACGCTGGGAGAATATGAAAGGCCACCTCTTAAAGAAATCATCTCCACTCTGCCCATAACAATGATGTCAGCAAATGGCACATTTAAGCAAGTTCTCACTTAGAAGGGCTCATTAGCATATGAATTCTCTTAGGACTTTCCCTGCATTTCGGAGTGATTCCTACTGCTTAGCGCAGGAGATTTATTTTTATCAGTAAATAACAGCAAAGAAAAGGAGCCAGGTCACGCGATGTACTAACTCAAGTACACTACTGAGAGTTTTTACAAATAGGTTAAGTGAATATCATTATTCAAACACAAGGAAGTGTCCCATACTGAAGCTAATCTTGTTTCTGAGCTATTTGTAGGTACACTGAGAGAAAGTGGAGTTTGGCTTCAGTTGTCTACAGAAAGGGTCAAGAGAAGCAAAACATATCCTCAAAGCAAGCCCAGAAAAAAAATGATAGATTAGTACTCATCAGTAGAGGTCTAATCTCTTCTGAACTACAAATTTTAGTTTCCACTATAGCCTCCTTATCACAAGGTGATAGAAATACCAAGAGAATGAAGGGGAAAATGCAATATTTAAGAGCTTCATCAATTTGTAAAATATCAGTAAATAAAAGCAATTTAAAGTGGTCACCAGTTCCTTTGGTATCTTTTTTTTTTTAAGCTAAAAAATAATCCTGTACCATCAGGATTCCTTGGGATTGATTTGCAACCTATGTGGTTCTACAGTATACACGTGAACAATAGCTCATTGTAACTGTGATTTAAAAATACATAAACAAGTTGCCATAAATAGATCAGTCAAGTAAATCACTCTGTGGCCAAATTCTGTTATCTCAGCTACAAAGTAAGGCAGCTGAGAAGTTTTTTTTTTTTTTTTTTTTTTTTTTTTTTGTTACTCTCTTAAAGTGGCAGAAACAGAAAAGTTGTGGCTCTGCTGGTAGACTAGTTTGGAAACACTGATTCGGACAACACAATTTGTAATTCAAATAGACTCTTTATTGGCCAAATGGATTCCGGTTTTGAAGACGATTCCCAAAACGTTCTGATATAGAACTCTTCTGGCCTTAGGCCTAGTTTAGGGATTTGTGGGAAGACTTCAAAGGTTACCATTTTCCTCTGTGGATCTGTAAAATTAACCATGAATACCTAGGTCAGATTTCCTTTTTCCTACTTCACTCTGTTTGGGCTTCCTCAGGGAAGATTTCAGCTACCTACCTATAGGAGAAATGCGCAATCAATTATTGATTTAAATCAAACTCTGAAATATCATATGATTATGATAAAGGGAGTATCAGCAGGTGAATACATTAAGCCAGGCAGACCCTTTTTGGAATAGCTTTTAAAGGACAGCTACATTAGGCAACAAAATACTTCCAACTACAAACTATAGCAGCACTTATCACTATTAAATGTCAGCCATTGTAAATGTGCTTCCTCTAACGCAGTTACTTGTAAATACGTTTTGTTATATTTTCAACAGGTACTGTCATGGTTTATTACCCATTGTAAGCGTTTTTAGTGATGAAGCAGTGTGGAGACAGTTGCAAGCTTCCTACAAAGGTTCAATCTCAATGAAACAGACTTTAGTCTGGTCTGAAAGGGGTTGTTATTGTCAAGGGTGAACTTATGCAGAATGGAGAGCAAGGCCCCCAACCAGCATCCTTTTGTTTCAGCCAGGTGGAATATTCATGCTTGCAGATCACACTTTAGGGGCCAGTTGAGAAAGGAAGCCCAAAAATTCACAGGGCTTGGTTCCCTCGCTCCATCCTGGTCTTTGCTCTAAGGTCATCTCTACAGAGAAGGCTTCAACTCCCTAACTAAAATATCACCCTCCCTCCATTTGCAATATTTGTCTGCAAAGCACTTAGCATTGCCAGGTATTTACATGTCTATTTGTTTATCGTTCGTTGTCTTTCTCCTTTCCTAGAAGCTGGGGACTTTGGGGACTCACTACTGTATTCTCAGCACCTAGAATGATGCCTGGCACATAGCAGACAAATTTAATAAACATGAGTTAAGTGAATGAATGATTCTCAGACATTATTCTTCTCAGGCCCTCATAAGTATACTATACCTGTACAAGTCTGTTTCTAATCTAAAGTCAAGCTGAACTACAATGTCCTAATGGAGGAGAGGATAATAGAAAATCAGAAATATGCCAAAGGCAGAGAAATAAAGAGGCAGCATTTTGTTTGTCAAATGTCAGCCAGCTGCGTTGGGTCTGGTAGAAAGAGATAAAGGACACAGTACAAAGCCAACTTTGGCGCTAATCCCTGGTTCTTCCATGTTGTGTATATAGTGACCCTGAGGTCTTTTCTGCTCCTTGCCTTCATTTTTTCCCTTCTAAAAAGACCTCCTTTTTAGTTTTAAGGGTAAGAGTTAGTTGCTCTTGGTATCAGACATTTGAAAGGATTTATAACTACTGTAAGTTCCAGCAATCTAGGAAGAATGTATTTAAATGATTAGATGTCTTTCAGGTTTCTTAATAGAAATGAGAGATCAAAGGCTCTGATAATCACAAATGACATCTAACCTAAATTTGAGGGGCAGTTGGCAGATGTAGTATTAAATAGGGTGGCAGTTCTAGTTTTCAATGCGAGCATATTCCAGAACAGCAGTTTGGTTGTTCTGACTATGTAGATAGGTATCTAAAAGAATCACAAAATCAATCATACAAATGTAGAGTTCACAAAACCCTTGGGATCCTACATCTTACCCAGATGAAGAAACTAATATCCAAAGGAATCACTGTAATGATATTTTGTTTCTTTCCAAATTTGTTACTGCTGAAAGTTTATGCCAAATGTGTTACTTTCTTGTCAATTTTAAACATTTCTGTTGTATCCCCGATTGGTCATTATACCCTGGTGGGTCATTGAACATTTGCAAATTCTAGTTACCATTACCTGGGTCTGTGGCATCCCCAGGGAAGGGCCCCAAGGCAGATACCAAGCTCTTCTTAGGGCTAACAGGCATTATAAAGTTTTATAATAGGTTGCAGTTTCCCAAGGTCTCCAATTACTCTTTCCCCTTTGATTATATTTAAAGCAATGTGATTAGAGAGCACTGGTTCTTTAACGTTTTCTACACCCAATCCCTCTTTAGATTTACTACTCCAATAATCCTAGGCACCCATCCCCTCCCTGACCCTCCTTCCTTTGTGAGGGAGGTAAACTCTCCCTTCACAGTACCCTGATGCACTGGGTTTGAAGTTAGGAGACTTAAATGTCTATTATCTGTCAATTACTATGTGACAATGGGAGGAATCACTTCTCTAAGGTGTTGTGTTTTTCATCTCTAAAAATGCTGGAGTTTGGATTAGGTCAATGTTTAGAACTTTTGAGGAGAGAACACAATCCACTTTCCAACTAAAACAAAAAATCTCGGCCAAGCGTAGTGGCCCACACCTATAATCCCGGCACTTTGGGAGGCCAAGGCGGGTGGATCACTTGAGGTCAGGAGTTCAAGACCAGCCTGGCCAGCATGATGAAACCCCATCTCTACTAAAAATACAAAAATTAGCTGGGCATGGTGGCGGGCGCCTGTAGTCCCAGCTACTTGGGAGGCTGAGGCAAGAGAATTGCTTGAACCCAGGAGGCAGATGTTGTAGTGAGATCATGCCACTACACTCCAGCCTAGGTGACAGAGTGATACCCTGTCTCCAAAACATAAATAAATAAAATGAAATAAACATCTCGATATAGAAACAGAAGTGTCACTGCTTTGTTGAAGTTCTGGACTGGCTTCCTCCTGACACTCTCCCACAACTCTCCTCACCCCTGTTGTTCCAAGGCAGCCCCCAGGCACCTCCCTCTCTAACTAGATGCTCCCAGAAGCTCCACCAGTTCTAGTATTTCCTGGGTCTCTAAAGACTCAATAGCTGATTATGACACTAATACCAGATAGGTGTTTACAGCTGTGCTGTCTGGAGTCCACAGCCCAAGTTGTGTGGGAGAATATAGGACCAGGTCCGTTCATTGACCTTGTTCAGGGTTGTTATCTACTACTGAAGACACACTGCCATCTTTGCCCACCCTAACCCTTACTCCCAACTATTCTGAAATACTCCTTCCCCCAACCCAGGAAATGTTTGTTACTTTTCATGAACAGATAATTAAACTAGCATTCAGCTTAATTGAATAAAAAACTTTAGGTTCTGACCTTAGGCTCTGCAACCCTCTCAACACCTGTCCATCTGTGGTTTGATACACTCTTAAATTTCACTACTGAAAAGCTACCAAAATGTTAAGAAACTAAGAAAATATATTCCAATAAATATTGAGAGAGCTGTACCATGGCAACATATCCAACATTTATTAAATTGCAAACCCCAGTATACAGTATAATCATATTGTTATAAGTAATATTTGGTAAGCTGACATATACATTGCAAAATTATTTAGATACTATAAATACCAAACCAGTAGTATGGTTTCCAGGGGAGGGCAGATTATAGGAAATTATCATTTAAAAATTATATTGATAAAATAAGTGAATTTTTATATTTTCACATTATATGTAAACCTTTTCTCTATCAATCTATCTTTTTTTTTTTTTTTTTTAAGACAGAGTTTCGCTCTTGTTGCCCAGGCTGCAGTGCAATGGCACAATCTCGGCACACCACAACCTCCGCCTCCCAGGTTCAAGCGATTCTCCTGCCTCAGCCTCCTGAGTAGCTGGGATTACAGGCATGCGCAACCACGCCTGGCTAATTTTGTATTTTTAGTAGAGATGGGGTTTCTCCATGTTGTTCAGACTGGTCTCGAACTCCTGACCTCAGGTGATCTGCCCACCTCGGCCTCCCAAAGTGTTGGGATTACAGGCATGAGCCACCACGCCTGGCTGTATCTATCTATCTATTTGAGATAGGGTCTGGAGCTGTCACCAGACCCTATAAATATTTATTTATTTGAGACAGGGTCTCAATATACTAAAATATACTACAATATTAATATATGGAAGAAAAGTTTGAAAGCAGAAATTAACATTCCAAATTTAAGGCCGGGCGCAGTGGCTCATGCCTGTAATCCCAGCACTTTGGAAGGCCGAGGTGGGCAGATCACTTGAGGTGAGGAGTTCGAAACCAGCCTGGCCAACATGGTGAAACCCCGTCTCTACTAAAATATACAAAAATTAGCCGGGCATGGTGGCAGACGACTTAATCCCAGCTACTTGGGAGGCAGAGGCAGGAGAATGGATTGAACCCAGGAAGCAGAGGCTGCAGTGAGCCAGATTGAGCCATTGCACTTAAACCTGGGGGATAAGAGCGAGACTTCTCTAAAAAAAAAAAAAAAAAAAAAAAAAAAAATTCCAAATTTAAGTATTAGTTGGTATGAGAAGATACCTGAATGCATACTTCCTCTCCATGCTTTCTTCCTCCCAGTCACAAGCTTCAAGAGTGGACTCTCTGCTGCATTTACTTATAATACTGTGAGAAGGAGGGTGTCACCAGTCCCACATTTCCATAGAGCCAGACATAGTGGGACAGGGGCTGTCTGATCCCTCATGCATCCATCCATGGATTCACTGATAGATTCTTTGGCTGAGATGTAGGGTATTACTTGTTGAAGGGCACCACTGTTCGACCTAGACCTTTCCCTTGACTTAGAGACTTCGCATTCTAAATCCATATTCTGTATCTTGATTTATTCCAAAAAGAAGACAGAGAAAAATACACAAAAAAGTGAGGAAAATAAATGACTGGTCTAATTTTCAGAACTACAGAACAAACCATGATACATGGTGATTATAGGAATATTTGAGGTATGGTTAAATTTTAATATAGGAATAAAAGGAAATATTGATACGTCAATTCGGTAAGAAGTCAAGATTCAGGAACCGTGAAGGTGGGGTGACATTTGAGCTGCATTTTTAAGGACTAAAAGGATTTGATCAGAGTGATGAATGGAATGGGTTTGGGACAGGGAAGGGGGCCTAGTCCAGGCTGAGCCGGTCAAAGTTTGAGGGCCAAAAGAGCTGGAACACAGGAGGGAGAGGCTGGAGACTGCCCAAAGGCAGCCAGGCCCAGGCTGTGAATAGCTGCATAAGCCATCAGAAAGATGCCAAGTTATTCTAGGGGTAGTGGGGAGCCACAGAAGCTTAAGCAGAGAAGAGTGACATGGTCGTATTTATGCCCTAATTAGAGGGAGAGTGGAGAAAACCCTGCAGAGAAACCAGATGGCAAGAGTCTCAAAGCTGCCACAGTAGTCAAGGGGAGAGAAGATAGTCGGTGTGTCTGAGGACGTGATTTCTCAGGGTGGATAAACTGGACTTGTGGCTGCCCGGGGTGTACAGTCTGGGTAGGGGCAGTGGAAGGGGTGGCAGGAGGGACCCAGACATTCCTAAATGAGTCAGTATATCCATGGTTTACTTGAAAGACAACCAACAGCTTAGCCCTGATGTAAGCTCTCACTTGGAATTGCCATTTTTTTTCACTGCCCATGGGAGACACAGTAACTGAAGGACTTATATTTCTAAGCTCAAACTTATTTTTTTATTTTTATTTTTTTGAGACATAGTCTTAACTCTGTCACTCAGGCTGGAGTGCAATGGTGCGATCTTGGCTCACTACAACCTCCACCTCCGGGTTCAGGCAATTTTCTTGTCTCAGCCTCCTAAGTAACTTAGCTGGGATTACAGGTATGCGCCACCGTGCCTGGCTACTTTTTCTATCTTTAGGAAAGACAAGGTTTCACCATGTTGGCCAGGCTGGTCTCGAACTCCTGACCTCAGGGGATCTGCCCGCCTCAGCCTCCCAAAGTGCTGGGATTACAGTTGTGAGCCACTGCGCCAGGCTTCTAAGCTCAAACTTTATCTTCCTGTTGATATTCACCTTTAAAATAGAGTATTTAAAAATATTACACTATTTACATGTAATGTTAAAAAGCTCAGTGGCCGGGCGCGGTAGCTCACATCTGTAATCCTAGCACTTTGGGAGGCCGAGGTGGGCGGATCACCTGAGGTCAGGAGTTCAAGACCAGCCTGGCCAACATGGTGAAACCCCATTTCTACTAAAAATACAAAAACTAGCCAGGCATGGTGGTGGGTGCCTGTAATCCCAGCTTCTCGGGAGGCTGAGCCAGGAGAATCGCTTGAACCTGGGAGGTGGAGGTTGCAGTGAGCCGAGATCACATCATTGCACTCTAGCCTGGGTGACAAGAGAGAAACTCTGCCTCAAGAAAGTAAAAAATTAAAACATTAAAAGAGCTCAGGGGCCTATCATTATAAAAGAAGTAGGCACATGATTTTTAGGTTGGAATGTAATCCATGTGGAAGAACTACCCAACTAACTCCTACTGCAGAGATCAAAATGTCATTGGAAAGCTAGTATGTTAAATGAGGGTGTGCAATCTAGTAGTTAGGGTTTTATACAAAACTTTGAAATAATAGACACTGCTCCATCTTTTTTTTTTTTTTTTTTTGAGCCGGAGTTTCACTCTTATTACCCAGGCTGGAGTAAAATGGCATGATCTTGGCTCACTGCAACCTCCACTTCCCCGGGTTCAAGTGATTCTCCTGCCTCAGCCTCTCGAGCAGCTGGGACTACATGTGCCCGCCGCCACGCCCGGCTAATTTTTTTGTATTTTTAGTAGAGACGGGTTTTCACTATATTGGTCAGGCTGGTCTCAAACTCCTGACCTAATGACCTGCCTGTCTCGGCCTCCCAAAGTGCTGGGATTACAGGCGTGACCCACCGCGCCTGGCCTGCTCCATCTTAAATAAAAAAAAAAAAATTTATTCAGAGACAGGGTCTTGCTCTGTCACCTAGGCTGGAGTGCAGTGGTGCAATCATAGCTCACTGCAGCCTCTACCGCCCAGGCTCAAGTGATCCTCCCATCTCAGCCTCTCAAGTAGCTGTGATTACAGGCGTGAGGCACTACACCCAGCTAAATTTTAAAATTATAGAATATTTGCTGCTTTGTTTCATGAACTATGTGCTCAAAACTATTTTGCTCACCAGGTATTTTCTTTTTATATTTAAACTCTCCACCAACTAGGATGGTTGGTTCTCCACAAGGGAAAATCTGGGCATGCCAACTTTTAACACTGTTACCATGTGCTATAACTAACCAAGGTGTTCTTAGAGAGGTGTCAGTAAAGAATTATTTCGAGCAGCCAGAAGCCTCCTGGAAGAAGAAAACAGCCAGCAAAGCTTTCCATAACATTTCTTTATCTTATCTGAGATTCCAAGACCCTTTCTGCAACTGTAGGAATTTAAAGGAGGTGATTTTGTAGTGAAGACTGGTTTACAAGCTTTAATTAGACTGCACCAGGGCCAAGATTTGGAATTCAAATTGTTCTGCTGATCTTGAATCACACGCAGCTCTAGTAAGTAACTGTCTTTTGATCCAAGTTACTTTTAATATTTATTTTCTCCTTTATGTTTGGAGAGCTTTAATCTCTTGAACATTGAGTCTGCGCTGGATTATAGAGGGACTAGGGAAGGGATCTTGTCTGTTTTGTTTAATGATATATCCAAAGTGCTGAGATACTCTGGCCTGGTACATTAGATACAGCAGATACTTTACCTGGCATCTAGGGGATTCTCAATAGATATTTATGGAGTGGTGAATGACTAACTTGTTCATATTTTATCCTCCACAGAACCTGACTCAGAATCTTGCGCATACTAAGTCTTAATTATCAGTCCATTTATTTATTTTTTTTTAAATTTTTATTTGGATTTTTAAAAGTGAGTCAACTCATTAGAGTTTCAATGTTCCAATTCAAATATTTAAAGAAATCTCAATAGTTAGGAAGAATGAATGAGACCTATTATTTAATAGCACAACAGGGTAACTATAGTCAATAATAATTGTACATTTAAAAATAACTAAAAGAGTATAACTGGATTGTAACACAAAGGATAAATGCTTGAGGTGACGGACACTCCATTCTCCATGATATGATTACTATGCACTGCAAACCTGTATCAAAATATCTCATGTACCCCATAAATATATACACCGTCTATGTACCCATAAAAATTAAAAATTCAAAAAATTTATTGTTTAGGTCATTTGCTCTTTTTGGCTTATAAGATCTGATAGGGTAATGGTTAACCAGAAAAAAAAGATCTGACACAAATTCAAACGAATTGACTAACTTGAAATCTCTTTAGAAAGCCTGAATTTCTAAATCATATGATCCATCTACCTCCAAACAAATATTGTCCTTCGTCTTCTATTCCCAGTTTGTTTATGAGACCACTAATACTCTGAGTAAACTAGAAACCCAGTCATCACAGATGCCTCCTTTACTCAGGATACCCTCCTTCTTGCCTATCATCATTCAGTTACGTATTAGATCTTTCTATCTTTTAAATTTTTCTCCACTAGGCACTGTGTCACGTGCCTACAGTCCCAGCTACCCAGGAGGCTGAGGTGGGAGGATCATCTGAGCCCAGGAGTTGGAGGCTACTGGGAGCTCTGATTGCACCACTGTACCCCAGCCTGGGCAACAGAGTAAGACCGTGTCTAAAAAAAAAAAAAAGAAAAGAAAAGAAAAAAAGAGAACGAAAGAAAGAAAAAAGAAAAATTAACTATTGACTCTGTACAGGCATACTTCAGAGATATTGTGAGTTCACTTCCAGGCCACTGCAATAAAGCAAATATTGTAATTTCCCAGTGCATAGAAAAGTTATGTTTACACTACACTATAGTCTACTGAGTGTGCAACAGCACAATGTCTAAAAAAACAATGTACATACCTTAATTAAAAATATCTTACTGCTAAAAAATGCTAATGATCATCTGAGCCTTCAGTAAGCCATCATCTTTTTGCTGGTGGAGGGAGCCACCAATGTTGGTGGCTGTTGCGTGATCAGGATGGTAGTTGGTAAAGGTTGGGATGATTGTGACAATTTCTTATAAGGAAATGATGAAGTTTGCTGCATCAATTGACTCTTGCTTTCACAAAAGATTTCTCTGTAGCATGTGATGCTGTTTGGTAGCATTTTACCCGCAGTAGAATTTCTTTCAAAATTGGAGTCAATCCTCCCAAACTCTGTTGCTGCTTTATCAACTAACTTTATGTAATATTCTAAATCCTCTGTGGTCATTTCAACAATGTTCACAGCATCTTCACCAGGAGTAGATTCCATCAAGAAACCACTTTCTTTGCTCATTTCTAAGAAGCAATTCCTCAGGCCAGGTGTGGTGACTCACGCCTGTAATCTCAGCACTTTGGGAGGCTGAGACGGGTGGATCACTTGAAGTCAGGAGTTTGAGACTAGCCTGGCTAACACGGTGAAACCCTGTCTCTACTAAAAATACAAAAATTAGCCAGGCGTGGTGGCACCCACTTGTAGTCCCAGCTACTCAGGAGGCTGGGGCAGGAGAATCTCTTGAACCTGGGAGGCATATGTTGCAGTGAGCCGAGATCATGCCACTGCACTCCAGCCTGGGTGACAGAGTGAGACTCTGTCTCTAAAAAAAAAAAAAAAAAGCAATTCCTCGTCTGATAAAATTCGATTATGAGATTGCAGCAATTCAGTCACATCTTCAGGTTTACTTTTTTTTTTTTTTTTTAATTTTTAAGACAGGATTTTGCTCTCACCATGGCTAGAGTGCAGTAGCGCCACCATAACTCACGGCAACCTTGAACTCCTGGGCTCAAGCAATCCTCCTGCATCAGCCTCCCAAGTAGCTAGGACTATAGGCATGTGCTCCATGCCTGGCTAATTAAAAAAAATTTTTTAAGAGATGGGGCCTTGGCGTGGTTGCTCATGCCTGTAATCCCAGCACTTTGGAAAGTTAGGGTGGGTGGATTACTTGAGTTCAAGAGTTCGAGAGCAGCCTGGGCAACACAGTGAAATCCCATCTCTACAAAAACAAAACAAAACAAAACAAAACAAAAATTAGCCAGGAATGGTAGTGTGCACCTATAGTCCCAGCTACTCGGGAGGCTGAGGCAGGAGGATCACTTGAGCCTGGGAGACAGAGGTCACTGAGATTGTGCCACCACATACTCTAGCCTAAGTGACAAAGCCAGACCTTGTCTCAAAAAAAAAAAAAAAAAAAAAGAGAGAGAGAGAGAGAGGTGTTGCGTCACCTCACTATGTTGCCCAGGCTGGTCTCAAACTCCTGGCCTGAGCCTCTCACCTCAGCCTCCCAAGTAGCTGAAATTACAGGTGTAAGCTACCTTACCTGGCTTCCACTTCTAATTCCAGTTCTCTTGATATTTCTGCAGTTACATCCTCCATTGAAGTTTCTTTTTTTTTTTTCTTTTTTAGATGGAGTCTCGCTCTGTCGCCAGGCTGGGTGCAGTGGCACAATCTCAGCTCACTGCAACCTCCGCCTCCCGGGTTCAAGTGATTATCCTGCCTCAGCCTCCTGAGTAGCTGGGACTACAGGCACGTGCCACCACGCCCTGCTAATTTTTTTTTTGTATTTTAGTAGAGACGGGGTTTCACCGTGTTGCTCAGGCTGGTCGCAAACTCCTGAGCTCAGGCAATCTGCCCACCTCGGCCTCCGAAAGTGCCGGAATTACAGGCGTGAGCCACTGCGCCCAGCCCCACTGAAGTCTTGAACTGCTCAAAGTCTTCCATGAGGGTTGAAATAAACTTCTTCAAAATGTTGATATTTTAACATCCTCCTGCGAATCATGAATGTTCTTAATGGCATCTGGAGTGGTAAGTCCTTTTGCAGAAAGTTTTCAGTTTACTTTGCCCAGATCCACCAGAGGAATCATTATCTATGGCAGTTATAGCCTTAAGAAATGTATTTTTAAAGTAAGACTTGAAAGATGAAACCATCCATGATTCATGAGCTGCAGAATGGATGTTGTGTTTGCAAGCATGAAAGCAACACTAATCTTGTGCATCTCCATCAGAGCTCCTGGGTGACCAGGTACCTTGTCAATGAGCAGTAATATTTTTAAAGAAATCTTTTTTTCTGAATAGTAGTTCTCAACATTCAGCTTAAAATAGTAAACCATGCTATAAACAGATATGTTGTCATCCAGAAGCCATATGGATGTTGTTCCATTTAAGACCACAGACAGAGTAGATTTAGCATAATTCTTAAGGGCCCTAGAATTTTTTGAATGGTCAGTGAGCAATGGCTTTAACTTAAAGTCACCAGCTGCATCAGCTCCTAACTAGAGAGTCAGCCTGTCTTTCAAAACTTGGAAGTGAGGCATCAACTTCTCCTCTCAAGCTATGAAAATCCTAGATGGCATCGTCTTCCAGTATAGGAACTCAACTGCATTGAAAATCTGTTGTTTAGTGTAGCCACCTTCATCAGTGATCTTAGCTGGATCTTCCAGATAACTTGCTGCAGCTTCTCCATCACCACTCGCTACTTCACCTTGCACTTTCATGTTAGAGAGATGGCTTCTTTCCTGAAACCTCATGAAGCAACCTCTGCTAGCTTCCAACTTTTCTTCTGTAGCTTCCTCACCTCTCTCAGCCTTTGTAGAATGGAAGAGAGTTAGGGCTTTGCTCTGGATTAGGCTTTGGCTTAGGGGAATGTTGTGGCTGGTTTGATCTTCTATTCAGACCATTAAAACTTTCTATCAGCAATAAGTCTGTTTCACTTTCTTATAATTCATG
Source organism: Homo sapiens (assembly GCF_000001405.40). Classification (NCBI taxonomy): domain Eukaryota; kingdom Metazoa; phylum Chordata; class Mammalia; order Primates; family Hominidae; genus Homo; species Homo sapiens. The sequence goes on from NC_000012.12 coordinate 42,496,932, forward strand.
TTCACTGGATTAGCACTTTTAATTACCTTCAAGAACTATTCCTTTGCAGTCACAACTTGGCTAGCTGGTTTGGCACAAGAGGACTAGCTTTTGGCCTCTCTCAGCTTTTAACATGTCTTACTCACTAAGCTTAATCATTTCTAGCTTTTGATTGAAAGTGAGAGATGTGTGCCTCTTCCTTTCACTTGAACACACAGGCCACTGTAGGGATATTAACTGGCCCAATTGCAATATTGCTATGTCTCAGAGGATAGGGAAAGCCAAGGAGGAGGAGAAAGATGAGGGAAAGGCCATCTGGGAGAGTAGTCAGAACACACAAAACATTTATCGATGGCCGGGCGTGGTGGCTCACGCCTGTAATTCCAGCACTTTGGGAGGCCAGGGCGGGCGGATCACGAGGTCAGGAGATCAAGATCATCCTGGCTAACACGGTGAAACCCTGTCTCTACTAAAAATACAAAAACAAAATTAGCAGGGCGTGGTGGTGGGTGCCTGTAGTCCCAGCTACTCGGGAGGCTGAGGTGGGCGAATGGCGTGAACCCGGGAGGCAGAGCTTGCGGTGAGCCAAGATCGTGCCACTGCACTCCAGCCTGGGTGACAGCGAGACTCCATCTCAAAAAAAAAAAAAAAAAAAATTCGATTAAATTTGCCATCTTATATGGGCACAGTTCATGGTGCCCCAAAACAATTAAAATAGTAACATCAAAGGTCACTGATCACAGATCACTATCACAGATATAAAAATAATGAAGCAGTTTGAAATATTGCTAGAATTATCAAAATGTGACACAGAGACACGAAGTGAGCACATGGTGTCAGAATAAATGGTGCTGGTAGACTTGCTTGACACAGGATTGCCACAACGCAGTATCTGTGAAGCATGATACAGCAGTGTGCAGTAAAACGAAGCATGCTGGTATCTTTCCTCCCTACTCCTACGGCTGCTGCCTGCCCATGTCCCCACCCTGGACACGACCGCAGCCTAACTCACTCCCTCAGGTCTGCCCATCCCTATGTTCATTCTTCACTGGACACCACAAATCTAATGATGCCATTCTCTTTTAAAAAATTATTATTTATTTATTTATTTCTAATAGAGATGGGTCTCACTATGTTGTTCAGGCTCATCTTGAACTCTTAACTCTTAGCCTCAAGCGATCTCTAGCATCAGCCTCCCAAAGTGTTGGGATTATAGTGTGAGCCTCCATGCCTAGTCTCATTTTCTTTTTTTCTTTTCTCTCTCTCTTTTTTTTTTTTTGGAGACAGGGTCTTGCTCTGTCACCCAGGCTAGAATGCGGTGGTGCGATCATGGCTCACTGCAGCCTCGACCTCCTGAGCTCAAGTGATTCTCCCACCCCGGCCCTGCTGAGTAGCTGGGACTATAGGTGTGTGTCACCACCCTGGTTAATTTTTTGTATTTTTAGTGGAGATGGGGTTTTGCCATGTTGTCTAGCCTGGTATCGAACTCCTGGCCTCAAGCCATCCTCCCACCTTGGCCTCCCAAAGTGTTGGGATTACAGGTGTGAGCCACTGTGCTTGGTCTCATTTTCTTTTAAAATCTCTTCTGCGGGCCAGGCATGGTGGCTCATGCCTGTAATTCCAGCACTTTCAGAGGCTGAGGCAGGAGGATTGTTTGAGCCCAGGAGATCGAGACCAACCTGGACAATAGGATGAAACCTTGTCTCTATTTAAATTAAAAAACAAAATCCCTTCTTCAGTTTTTCCAAAACCTTCGTGAGATAAAATTAAGACTCTTTACAAAGAAGCCCGTCCATTTCCAGTCCCTACTGATCCTCTAGCTCTGTCTCCATCATTAGTCAGACCTCACTTTCAGGCTGTAGAACTGGTAGTTTCCACCCATATGTTTCATTCTGCTGTTTCTTCTACTTGGAGCCATCTAATCACTTGCTTTTGTTAACCTAACTCTTACTTCAAGACTTTGTTCAGGATGGATCCAGGAAATGTTCCCTGAAGCCCCATCAGACCAAGGGCTTCCACACTGAGCTCTCACTGCTCCAGAACTCTCCATCAGTCCCAAAACTAACAGCATGAGAACTCAAGTATGTATTAGAATTCTGAGTCATTTTTCACATACAGTGTGATGTCACTACTTTATCTTTGGTGATAGATTGAGTAAGAACACAATAGTGCCAAATGAACCTCTCTCATTATTATACCTGCTATAACTTATGGAGTACTCATATGCTAGGCATTGTACTAAATCATGTACATTTAAAAAAAAATCCTTATAACAACATAAGGTGGATCTTATTTTCCCATTTTACAAAGGAGAAAAGTAAGATAAATTGTATAAAGTTATCAGGTAATTTGGGAAGGAGCCTATATTCAAACCTTGGTCTGACACCAAAGCTGATGCTCTAAATGACTATTTGTTTTTAAAGTAGAGCTTCCTATAAATAGCAAAATAATATGCTTTGCTTTTCCTGGCTTTTCTCTTGGCAGCATCACAAGAATGTAAGTAGAATAAATCTAGAATTTTTTTTTTTTTTTTAGAGTCTTGCTCTGTTGCCCAGGCTGGAGTGCAGTGGTACGATCTCAGCTGACTGTAGCCTCCACCTCCCAGGTTCAAGCAATTCTCCTACCTCAGCCTCCTGAGTAGCTGGGACTATAAGCACATGCCACCACACCCGGCTCATTTTTGTATTTTTAGTAGAGACGAGGTTTCACCATGTTGGCCAGGCTGGTCTTGAACTCCTGACCTCAGGTGATCCATCCACCACGGCCTCCCAAAGTGCTGGGATTACAGGTATGAGCCACCGTGTCTGGCCTAGAAATTTATTTATTTATTTATTTGAGACAGAGTCTTGCTCTGTTGCCCACGCTGGAGTGCAGTGGACTGATCTTGGCTCACTGCAACCTCTGCCTCCCGGGTTCAAGCGATTCTCCTGCCTCAGTCTCCCAATTAGCTGGAATTACAAGGGCCTGCCACCATGCCTGGCTAATTTTTGTAGTTTTTTATTCTTATTTTTATTTTTTTTAGTAGAGATGAGTTTTCACCATGTTGGCCAGGCTGGTCTCGGACTCCTGACCTCAAGTGATCCACCTGCCTTGGCCTCCCAAAGGGCTGGGATTACAGGCATGAGCCACCGTGCCCATCCACGGCCTAGAAATTTTTAATACCATATTATTTCAGCCAGAAATGAAGCAATGATTGTCAGTCTCATTTAGGGGAGCTCAATGACAATATTTTGGCTTTGCTGGCCTTTCGGACCAAAGAGTTATACAGCACAAAGGCCAAAACATAGGGGACCCTCCAACACACACACCAACCCTGGAGATAATCAGACAAATGACACCCTGAGCTTTCTGAAGCAGTTCATTGTACCATCTTAATTTCTATAGATACAAAATCATTTTATTGTCCAAATACAACAAAACTAGCCTGTATTTGAAGATCTTTATATAATAGTTGCTCTGTTGCCTATTAGGCATTACCAGTATCAGTACGTACTAAGCACTTAGTCAAAGACAGCACTCTTGGATGAGTTCAGCAACCCAACCATCACCTCTTCCACTTAAATGCAGATTATGCTGAACAAAAGAGAGACCATGAGCATGGTTCAGTTGTTAGTTTGTGTGTAACGCATTCTACTGAACGTATCTCACATGATATCCTGAAGGCAATGAAGTAATGCAGCCATTAACAAACTTTTCAGACAAAATTGATTATAGCTCAACTCATAGCACTATAATACATTTTTCATTAATTTTCTTTTTTTTTTTTTACTAAAATCTTTCAGTTTCAACAAATGAAAAAAAAGCAATAGAATTAATATTCTTTCTAGCAGCATATCTGGGCAATTCTAACAATATGTCCCCAAACAAAAATTTATTGCAGATGAGCTCAAATAATAGGAGACTATTAGAACTCGTATCACATGGGCTTGTAAAGACAATCTACTTTCTGCTGAAGACCAAACATTTTTACTTAACACAAACTCTAGTTCCAATTAAAGACAGCTGAGTACATTGTTACTTTTATAATAGACTAGATCACATTTCCATGGTCAACCATTTCTGAACTTATCAGCTTTTCTTTCAAGAAATTCTAACAAGATTCCAGCAATCTCTGAAATGCTTCTACCTATTGGAAAAGTGGGTTTGGTGGGAGCGATTTAATGAAGACTAAAAGTATGATTTAGGAAATCATTTTATGACATCACATTTTAAGGATCTGAACAGTCTAAAGGTTTTTTGAAAGAATCCAATGATATGGCTAGACAATCTCTGTAAATGGAGCCACCGCTCAAAACATAAAAGAAGAGAGCAAGGCCGGGTGCGGTGGCTCATGCTTGTAATCACAGCACTTTGGGAGGATGAGGCAGGCAGATCATGAGGTCAAGAGATTGAGACCATCCTGGCCAACATGGTGAAACCCCATGTTTTGTATTTTGTAAAAATACAAAAATTAGCTGGGCATGGAGGCGCGTGCCTGTAGTCCCAGCTACTCAGGAGGCTGAGGTAGGAGAATCGCTTGAACCCGGGAAGGGGAGGTTGTAGTGAGCCAAGATCGTGCCACTGCACTCCAGCCTGGTAACAGAGTAAGACTCCATCTCAAAAAAAAAAAAAAAAAAAAAAGAAAAGAAAAGAGGAGAGCAAATTCCTATACAAGCAACATTTATGATCATCTTCTTGCCTTTCCAGTAACCTTTAAAATGACCTTCCCTAACATGCAACTGATTCCTACGAATATCTTTCATGAAGTGGCTTTTTTTTCCCCCATACAGTCAGGCAAATTAAAATCTACTACAGAAAAATGCTTGTCATTCAGTTTCTCATGCCTAATTAAGAGATTTCTTAGGGAGAATAAATATGATGATCACACACATAAATATTTGGGATCCTTGAAACATCCAGGCATTATGATGCTGATGCTATATAAATAACAAATTTAATTAATAGTGGAATTATAAGGGGAAAAATAATTCAAGACAACTGCTAGTGCATTATCTGTACTGCAAATTTTCTGTGCTTGTGAGGAAAACACTCACTGTTGCCATCAACACTGCTAGGAGCAATTCGAAGAAGGTGGGCTGGGACTTTTGCCATGCTACTTCTAGAAGCCCGTCAATAGGTGTGACAGTTAATTTACAGAATGGCCTGGAATGAATGGACATTTATAGTTTTCTGTTTGTGTTTTGTCTCAGAAGGGTAAATACAAGGCCTACTTAACCGGAGTACTTTATAGGTATATATGTATATACACCTATATATATATACACACACACACCTATACATATATACACACACACCTATATATATACACACACCTATACATATACCTCTATATATATACACACCTATATATATATACCTACATATATATATATAGATATATATTTGTTTTTCTTTTCTTTTCTTTTCTTTTTTTTTGAGACAGGGTCTCATTCTGTTGTCCAAGTTGGAGTGCAGTGGCACGATCAAAGCTCACTGCAGCCTCAAACTCCTGGGCTCAAGCAATCTTCCTGCCTCAGCCTCCCAAGTGGCTGGGACCATGAGCACACATCACCATGCCTGGCTAATTTTTGTATTTTTTTTGTAGAGACAGGTGTCTCACTGTCTTGCCCAGGCTGATCTTGAACTTGTAGGCTCAAGCAATCTTCCTGCCTTGGCCTCTCAAAGTGTTGGGGTTACAAGCATGAACCACCATGTCTGGCTTGTGTGGTTTTTTAAAAAAAATATTTATTCTCTTCTCCTTTCTACTTTCAACTACCAAGGATGCACATTTTACACTGGAATGTATTTTCAGAGCAGACGCGGGAAAGGGCCGAGTCTTAGATGTCTTTTTTTCTCTATTTCTTTCCTTCCCTGTAAGGTTTTTCTTTATGGAGCTTTCAGTTTTAGGTTTCCATAACCTCCTAATGCAAAACAGGCTAAGAAGAGCAACGAATGTAACAAACCACATGTTGCTTTGCTTCTCTCTTTTTGAGGAGGAAAAATCCAGCTTCCAAGAAGAGTATGCAAACTTGCAGTTAAGCTGAAATTAAAGATGTTTTAAAGGTTTCTTAACCCTGGTCTTGGCCATCTTGTAATATTTTAAAATGTAAACGGAAACATATGATTACGATAAACTCTGATTCTACTTAAGAACAAACAGAACATGTTAAGTCCATGGGTAATAGTTTACTAAATCAATTTGGACTTGTGGGGCAATCTGAATATTTTCACCTAGGCCAAAGATAAGAGACGCAATACAAAAATTAACTTTTAAGCATTTCACTGTGAAATCAACACTTGTGCATTCTGAGCCTTGGATTAACAATCTATATCTGGGCTCCTGCAGACTTGCATAAATTATTTAAAAATTTTATGGCTCAATTCAGCTGTCAAAGAGAAGAGCCTTTTGACAACATTTCACACCTGTTACTTATCTAGTAAAGTCCTGGGCTTAGTTACTCCCACCTGGGATGAGCATGTCCAGACTTCCCGCACACTCATTGTACACAAGGGGATAGATTCTTTGCAGTGCTGGGTAGTAAAGAAATTAAGACACACTAAAATCCCCGGAATTTTCCCAAAATAGACTATCACAATACAAATCTTAACTAAAGTAACTACTGAGAAAAGAACACAGACCTTACAGAATGATCATGAGAGATGGTCTATTTGAGCTCTTCAGTGTAACATACACACACAAAACAAACAAGAGCCACTGACTTCAATACTTGTTCTAAGGAAAGCACTAAAGTAAAAATTAAGAAAGCTGATTTCTCTTCTGAGTCTTATAGTCATAGAAGGGTGAATGCACAAAAATAATTCATATATGAATATCCCTAGCCATTGGGGTAATTCTCAGCTATGGGAATCTGATTTACCTCCTCACCTTCTTTATACCTTTTCCAACTCACTTAATAAAGGGATGAATGCTAGGTCACACCTGAGGTTCCTGTAATCTCCCGAAATTCCTCCCAGTGTCCTCCCATCATGAATCTGCCTATAATTCAAAAAGCGGGTTCTGGTTATTTAGTTAAGTAGCAAAGGGAATTCTTGGGGAAAAGTGGTTTGAGACCAACTTTAGCTTAAATTCTAGGTCTGTGGCAAAAAAACAGAATCAAAAACCCACTTCCTCACAAAAATCATATGTGGATTTTAGAAGTTCTAAATGATACCAGAATATCAACTCTGTGGATGGTTTAAAAAAGGGAGGAAAATGAGATATGAAGAAGAGCGAGGTCTGAGGAAAATTCTGTATCATAAAACGTGAGGACCCGTAACAAGCAGGGGATGTTAGCAGTTGATTGCAGATTTCTGAAAATAGAGGCCAGAAAAGGCTCAGAGGCACCACTCCTGGATGTGAGTCCTGGGCATGGTGCCAAGAAAAGAAACTTCTTACTCAGGAATATTTGGTGGGCAGAGTACAGGGAAACTGCTTAGTTATAATTCAAGTGACTTTAAGGAAAATACTCTGACTGGGGAATCAAAGAATACCTGCCTCCAAAAAGCACATTTAGTGGGCAGAAAAATCTGCACGGAACTAGCGTTGCTCTGGAACTGACTCTACAAATGTGTTGCTTCTCTCCTTTTGCAGCACCCAAGCTTAGTAGGTGTATGAGGGAGCTACTGTTGATGTAAAATGAGTTTTGTTGAAACTGCTGAATGAGATTTGTATTAGTTAGTGCTCTGTGGCTGTAAGTAACAGAAACCAAAGTAACTTAGGGGGAAAATGGTGAGGGGCAATAATTCATTGGAAGGATACAGAGGTGTCTCAGGCTAACACAAGGGCGGGAATGCAGCTGAGCTTCAAAAAATGGCTATAATTCAGAAATGGAAAACCCCCGGACATTTAGACAGCATTCTTTCTCCATTCCTGTCTCTGCTAATTTCTGGTTTAACACTTTATTTTTCTCTCGTTGCAGACAGACAGGACTTTATGGCTCATTGTTCTGTAAGGTTAAAACATGGTCACTTAGCTGGGCACGGTCACTCATGCCTGTAATCTAGCACTTTGGGAGGCTAAGGCGGGTGGATCACCAGGTCAGGGGTTTGAGATCAGCCTGACCAACATGATGAAACCCGGTCTCTACTAAAAATACAAAAATTAGCCGAGCGTGGTGGCGGGCACCTGTAGACCCAGCTACTCGGAGGCTGAGGCAGGAGAATCACTTGAACCCAGGAGGTGGAGGTTGCAGTGAGCCTAGACTGTGCCACTGCACTCCAGCCTGGGCAACAGAGTGAGACTCCATCTCAAAAAACAAAAAACAAAAAACAACAAAAACACGGCTACTTCACAGTTCTGGGGTTAGGATCCATTATGATTGCAAAGGGTCCACCCCTTGGCCATGTATCTGTGTGGGTAGATGGATCTGGATTTGTGTGAGTGTTTGGGCTGGAGGCCAGTAATTCAGCAAAGGTGGAACAGTTTTGTCCTCCACAGGTATTCTAAAAATGTCATTTAAATGGATTAAAACATTCTATTTGTAGAATAAGGCAACAGCACTTGCTATTAGATATGATGCATGGGAATTAGGTTGCCTTTGTTTTTTTGTTTTTGTTTTTGTTTTGAGACAGAGTCTCACTCTGTTGCCCAGGCTGGAGTGCAGTGGTGTGATCTCGGCTCACTGCAACCTCTGCCTTCTGGATTCAAGCAATTCTCCTGTCTCAGCCTCCAGAGTAGGTGTGACTACAGGCACGCACCACCATGTCCAGCTAATTTTTGTATTTTTAGTAGAGATAGGGTTTCACTATATTGGTCAGGCTGGTCTGAAACTCCTGACCTCAGGTTATCCACCTGCCTCAGCCTCCCAAAATACTGGGATTACAGGTGTAAGCCACTGAGCCCGGCCCAGGTTGCATTTGTTAGTTGTGCTCCAACAGCAATTGATGCTGAGTGGACTGGCAATGTAAGAATCACCTGGAAAGCCTCTTAAACTACACAGAAGCCTCAATCATATCCCTACAGATTTTGACTCAGTAACTCTGAATTAGGATCCAGAAATTTGCATTTAATGTAGTCTCCATAGATAACTGCAATTTGTACCTAGGTGTAGGAACTACTGGTCTACAGACATCATTCACTTTGGTTACCAGCTCTCCTAAAAAAGTGGTAACGTTGTGGAATAAGAACAAAAAGTTATTTTAAGTTTTCATTCATTAGTTGGTTAAGGCGAAATTCTACCCGGACATCGCAAAGTCTTCAAGGTTGCGTATCAAGCACCCATGTTGCTGAGTGACTCTCAGGACTTTTATGAAAAGTTCCGAAGGGGAAGTGATTTTAGGGATTTGACCCATCTGAGCTAAGATGTCTTTCTCAAATGAAAGTTAACTTCATTAATTATATAAGTAAAAAATGTTCTTTTTTCTTTCTTTCTTTTTTTTTTTTTTTGAGATGGAGTCTCTCTCTGTTGCCTAGGCTGCAGTGCAATGGCGTGATCTGGGTTCACTGAAAACTCTGCCTCCTGGGTTCAAGCGATTCTTCTGCCTCTGCCTCCTAAGTGGCTGGGATTATAGGCACCCACCACCACTCCCAGCTAATTTTTGCATTTTTAATAGAGATGAGGTTTCACCATGTTGGCCAGTGTGGTCTTGAACTCCTGACCCCAGGTGACCCACCCACCTCGGCCTCCCAAAGTGTTGGGATTACAGACGTGAGCCACCGCGCCCAGCTCAATAGTGTTCTTTTTTTTTTTTTTTTTTTTTTTTTTTTGAGACAGTCTCACTCTGTCGCCCAGGCTGGAGTGCAGTGGCACGATCTTGGCTCACTGCAATCTCTGCCTCCCGGGTTCAAGCAACTCTCTACCTCAGCCCTGAGCAGCTGGGATTATAGGTACCCACCACCATGCCCGGCTAATTTTTGTATTTTTAGTAGAGACGGTGTTTCACCATCTTGGCCAGGCTGGTCTTGAACTTCTGACCTTGTGATCTACCCGCCTCGACCTCCTAAAGTGTTGGGATTACAGGTGTGAGCCACCGCACCTGGCCATGTTCTTTTGGCATAGCTTGTGGTACTGGTTTTGAGCCACAAAACCTTTGAATATTATGGTTTCTCTAAAATGTTTGTAGGAGGGGTTAGAAAAACAAAATGAGAAATATAGAAATCAAGGCCATTTCATCATCTAATATCTAAACCCATTATTTGGGGGACATGCAAGGCTTAATTTTAATTATGCATAGTTTCTGCAATTTCAACACATTTCTTATGCAAAAGCTGTATGTTCATGAAGCTTTTGAGGTGAGTGCTGCTCCCCTGGATGTAAATTAACTGCTGTCCTTCTGGGTAGGGCTGTTGAAACTTGAAGGCTGCTGGGCAGCTGCTGTCTCCCTGCGTTCTGAGTGTTCATTAGTGTTCCGGCACACGGACTGACACATAGCAGGCAGATCACGTGTCATTTGGGGGATAGGGGATAGTTACTGAAAATACTAAGCAGATCAAGTTGTGTAGACAAAGCAGAAAAACAATTAAAACAATGACTCTTACAGACAAAAGATGGAAAGGGTTTTGAACCCTTTTGAACTAAACATACCCTAACTCACTGGGACACCACAACTTGTTATTTGCCCTAAAGTGACCACTGACAAATGATTCCATCTGTTCACAATTGTATCTCTTGCTCCTCTCTGTTGTAACATTATTCCTTTCTCCTTGCACCAGTTCTATAGCTTTTCACTTGCTCAGTCTTCTGATTTATTATATGGAAGAACTTTTTTTTGAGCTGTTATGATCACATTATTGTAAGGAAGAATTCTTCTGGAGGAACTAACCTCCATTCCCCATCATACAGTCAATGAAGGTTGCATTGCACTGAGCAGGCGGCAGAGCCTAAATGATGTTGACTGACATTTATAAAGCCAAAGCATCTGTGTTGATTTAATGCAGAGAAACAGAAGATGACTATAGTCAGTCATGTGATAGACTAGACATAAGCTTATCTCCAGCTTCAATCGCAGTATTGACAATGTTAATTTTTCCTCATTAGCCAGAGAATAAGATAAACACATATTGGAGGATACACAGTATAAGATTATAGCTCCTGTTCCTGTGTGATTTTATCAGGATATAAAATGCAACGATGTCAATCTCATTTGGATTAATCCATCAATTTGCCCTTTTTGGGGTTTTATAAAAGTTAACTACACAAACAAGCAATAGTGAACATATATTTCAATGGCGATTTAGATACCATTTTTATATTTTTAAGAACTCATGAAAAGATAATTCTTTTATAAGGGCTCTAGTGGAAAATGGAAAGAATAGAGAATGTGGCTTTGAGAAGGAGGGGGGAACAGGAAAAGGGAAAGGGGGTGAAATGTTGGCCTTAGACTAAGTATTTTTTATAAAGGATCCTCCACGCTCATACTGCTTCAAGGCACTAGGAGCTTTATTATATCGGCAATAACCTTAGCACAACATCCCTTCCTATTAGAATATCCTATACCATTACTTTAAACTTTTTTGGCTTAAAATTCAAGTAGGCCTGAACATTATGTGCAATGTAATTCTCACAAGTGAGCTACTGTTTAAGAAAAAAAGAAGGCAAGTGGTAATAAATCTGTAAATCCCTACTGCAGTTCTCAGGATAACATTTATTGGTCTGGGCTCAACTGTTTTATACACGGGTATATAACATACACCAAATTAGAAATGTAAAATTCATCAACAGGACTCATTGATAAGGAACTGCTTCATAAATAGCTTTATTTCTTAGAGGTAAAAGAAAAAATACATATATATATGAAAAGAAATTTGCTTTAGGTTGAACACATAGAAAGTATTTCAAAATTGCCTGGCTTTAGACACAGGTGGGCAGACAGGTACCAGAAGCAGTGGAAAGGAAGAAGGGGAGAGGGATGCACTTTCAGGGTGCTTGGAGATTGTGGCGCTCTATTCTGATTCTGGAATGGAGACGAACAGGGCTTGTCACTGTAGTTCTGCTTCTACCACTAACTGGCTAGAAGACCTTTACCCTGGGGACCTCAGTTTCTCATCTACACAGCGGCAGATGATCTCTAAGTTCTTTTGGCTATGAAATCCTATAATTCTCTGATTCCTTCAGTTTATAAACCCTAGGAATAAAGGTCAGTTGTATATATAGGGGCCAGTTTAAACCCAAAAGCTATTTTAGAACCTGTTGCTCCACCCCAGAGTGATGAAGTAGAAACAATTGCATGTGGTTCCTTTGAGAACAGCAGCCTGCCAGTCTTCTGGGCCCTGTACTCGCAGAGGAGACCACAGCCGGTGATGGGCCTGACAGTCTGAGCAGCCACACAAGGACTTTTTGTCTCCGTGGGGTTTAGACAGTATTAAACTTCAAATGCAAGTGCTAAGGCATTTACCCTAAATTCTCGATCTCATCTGTAGTTCCTTAGTCTGAAATGGAAAATTCTATTTTGGGAAACTGCCTAGAGACGCATTTAGGCTAACATGAAGGAAAAGTTGGAAAGCAAAATTGAATATAAAACATGGAAACTCTCAAAGAACTATTGAAAAAGGAAAATAAAATTCTTCCTTTAAAGCACACTCCAGAATTAAGTTCCAAGGGTCTTTCCATATCAAAAAGGATGCTCCCACAGCACCATCACTTCCCTGCCTTATTCTGCTCACCCTTTATTTTAGTTGTCTGTTTGATGTCTGTGGTCTCTGCTGGGTGGGACGACTTTGGAGGATGGAGAACCAGAGCACCATGCTCAGTGCAGCAACACATAGAAGGAACTGGACAAAGGTTTGTTGAGTACCTGAATGACTGAATGACCAGCTTGGGCAACATAGCAAGACCTCGTCCTTAATAACAATAATAATAATAATATAAGACTACCACTTACTATATTTTTCTACTTACTGCTCTACTAATGGCCTTTACTAAGAAATAGCTCATGTCAATTTGTCCAAAAGATTATCAAAATCATGGCCCGGCGAGGTGGCTCACACCTGTAATCCCAGCACTTTGGAAGGCTGAGGCAGGCGGATCATGAGGCCAGGAGTTCGAGACCAGCCTGGCCAACATGGTGAAACCCTGTCTCTACTAAGAATACAAAAATTAGCCAGGAATGTTGGCACACACTTGGAATCCTAGCTACTCAGGAGGCTGATGCAGGAGAATTGCTTGAACCCGCAAGGTGGAGACTGCAGTGAGCCAAGATCATGCCACTGCACTCCAGCCTGGGTGACAGAGCGAGACTCTGTCTCAAAAAAAAAAAAGATTATTAAGACAATTTTTTTATTTTTTGAGACGGAGTCTCCCTCTGTCGCCCAGGCTGGAGTGCAGTGGCGCCATCTCTGCTCACTGCAAGCTCCGCCTCCTGGGTTCACGCCATTCTCCTGCCTCAGCTTCCTGAGTAGCTGGGACTACAGGCGCCCGCCACCAGGCCCGGCTAATTTTTTGTATTTTTAGTAGAGATGGGGTTTCACCATGTTAGCCAGGATGGTCTTGATCTCCTGATCTTGTGATCCACCCGCCTCTGCCTCCCAAAGTGCTGGGATTACAGGTGTGAGCCACTGTGCTCGGCTATTAAGACAATTTTTAAAGTCTGGGCACAGTGGCTTATGTGGGCAATCCCAGCACTTTGGGAGGCCAAGGTGGGAGAACTGCTTAAGGCCAGGAGTTTGAGGACCAACCTGGGCAACATAGCAAGACCCTGTCTTGATTAAATTTTGAAAAACAAACAAACAAAGAGCATTTTTAAGGGAGAAAGCATAACTTTTTTTTTAAAGGTTTTTAATTGGCTTTCATTTGTATTTTATTCCTGGTATAATTAATCTTTTTTAATGAATAACTATCAATGAATTCCCAAAATTGATGCTATTTTCCCAAAGATCTTTATTGAGATGGGCAATTGGAAGGTTTGCATCTTCGTAAAAATGGAGGCTATGTCCTATGTCTGTGTTATTACGGAAGAGCTTGAAAAACCTTTATGTATGTGCCTAGTAAGGACACTAACCTGCTCTGTTAAAAGCTCTAATAAAAAGTTGTGTGATAAAAATGCCAAGGCTTGCTTATCTGAAAAGGTTCTTCCTAGTTCAAAGGGTCAGTTTCACACCAGGGTCCCAAGTCTTATCAGCTGGCTCTTCAGAGCTTTGCCATTGTAAAACAAAAGGACTCCTCCAACTGGCATGACAATGGTACAATCACCAGACACTTCAAAAGAAGCAGGCCCAGCACAGGGGATGCCCTGGGTGTGCCCCTCACTGTGATGTTTACACACAGGTTCCAACAGCTCTCCCACAATAAAACCAGCCAGAAGAGTCAAGGGCACTGTGCCTGCAGGGCAGTCAAGGATTCTGTCTTTACCAATAAAACCAGAGGGAAACTTCAGTTTAAACACCATTTACTTTAAACACTGCACTCTCAAAAGACAGGGTCTCATTATTCTACAAGGGTGAGGAGACTGCTGGAGAAATGGAAGTTGAGCTTCAGGGGCTGCATCCTTAGCACGTAATTAGAGAGAGGGAAAGAAAGAAGTATGTCTGCAGATAACCCAGAGTAATCTGCAGGTGTCCACATGAATTTTGCAGATGTGGATAAAAATAAGAATAAAAGACTATACTGGCTTGCAGGATGCAAAGAGAAAGCCTCCAGGTATGAGATTAACAGAAAGTAGTATTTATTGAATTTCCTCTGAGGGTCTGGCCTTGTGGTGGGTGCTCTGATCCATTGGCCTTGTTTGTTTAACTTCCCTGAAAATTAAAAATGAAAACCTACTTTCCCAAATCAGGTTCCACAGGAGAGGGGGGTATGGAAATCCAATGTCTGTGAAAATTATTGAAGGCTTACCCTTGAGTTTTCCTAGCCCTTGCTTGGAGATGTGTATTAGAGACATGTATAAAGAGTATTATTTCCAAGAAACCCAGCCACCTAGATGCTGGAAGCAGGGGATGAATAGGGAACAGCTTGATCTCTTCTGGAACAAAGGTTTACTTGAAAGGTTTTCTTTACTTCTCAAAGCTAGATATTGTGCTCTGTACATTTCTAGGATGCAAAGAATGCTTGAAAAAACAAGGAAACAGTCTCCCATTATTATAGGGAATCTTTTGTATTTTGCAAAGAGCTTGGCTTTGCTAAGGACTAATGGACTGTGAGGACTGTGAGGCCGTGATCTGCATCTGACTCCCCTTACACCATCATTCTACCCCTCTGGGGTTGTGCTATTCAAGCAACCTTCCCTAGTTCTTTCCAGGTTCTTGTCCTTGCTTCAGCTCCAGTGATGTGCCTGAATGCCCCAAAGGATGGTCCCATTACAAAAAAAAAAGATAGGGTTCAGACAAAGTTTCCAGATATGGACAGATATGTGTTTTGGTTTTTTTGGAGACAGAATCTTGCTCTGTCACCCAGGATGGAGTGCAGTGGCGTGATCTTAGTTCACTGCAACCTCTGCCTCCCAGGTTCAAGCAATTCTTGTGCCTCAGCCTCCTGAGTAGCTGGGACTACAGGTGTGCGGCACCATGCCCAGCTAATTTTTTTTGTATTTTTTGTAGAGACAGGGTTTCACCATGTTGGACAGGCTGGTCTTGAACTGCTGACCTTAAAAGCGATCCACCCGCCTTGGCCTCCCAAAGTGCGGGGATTACAGGCATGAGGCACCGTGCCCAGCTGGACATTGTGTTTTTATCAAGTAATAATTTCAGCAAGCATTTTAGTGTGCCTATTATGTGTCTACCTTATTTAAAACTGTATCCCCTGCCCTCTCCCTATTCCACATTCTTCATCTCTCTTTCCTGAGTTATTTATCTTCATAGCACTGATTTCTATCTGACATAGTATGTATTGTATGTAATCATTTTGTTTTTTGTGGGGGATGGAGTCTCACTCTGTTGCCCAGGCTGGAGTGCAGTGGTGTGATCTCGGCTCACTGCAACCTCTGCCTCCCGGGTTCAAATGATTCTCTTGCCTCAGCCTCCCAAGCAGCTGGCATTACAGGCATGTGCCACCACGTTCGGCTGATTTTGGCCCTAACTAGAGAGTCAGCCTCTCTTTTGAAGTTTGGAAGTCAGGCATTGACTTCTCTTCTCAAGCTATGAAAATCCAAGATGGCATCCCAATGCCTTAGAGCCCACTTTGCCCTAAGGCATTATTATTATTATTATTATTATTGTTATTTTTATATGTAGTTTCACTCTTGTTGCCTAGGCTGGAGTGCAATGGCACCATCTTGGCTCACTGCAGCCTTCACCTCCTGGGTTCAAGCAATTCTCTTGCCTCAACCTCCCGAGTAACATTACAGGCGCCTGCCACCATGCCTGGCTAATTTTTGTATTTTTAGTAGAAAGGGGGTTTCACCATGTTGGTCAGGCTGGTGTCGAACTCCTGACTTCAGGTGATCCGCCCCCCTCGGCATCCCAAAGCACTGGGATTACAGGGGTGAGCCACCGCAGCCCAGGCTGTCATCATTTTGTTTGGTCCCTTTCTTCACCTCCCACCCCACTAGAATGCAAGCTCTACATAGGTAAGGATCTCTATCCATTTTGTTCACTGATGTAGCTCCAATACCTGGTGCATAGTAGGTACTCAATTAATATTTGTTAAATGAATACAGCTGGGCACTCTTGTAGTCCCAGCTACTCAGGAGGCTGAGGCAGAAGAAGTGCTTGAATCCAGGAGTTCTAGGCTGCAGCGTGCTATGATAATGCCCGTGAATAGCTGCTGCATTCCAGCCTGGGCAACATAGCAAGATGCTGTTGGGCTGGAAAAAAAAAAATGAATAAGAGCTGCTCTTTGCCCTTAATTAATTCACTGTCTACTCCCTCTATTTACATATCTTCAATGCTGTCCCCTATGTCTCTCTCTTTTTAAAGTTTTGGTGTCTCCTTTAAAAAATTATTATATAATAGGCTGGGTGCAGCCTATTATATAACCTGCAATCCCAGCACTTTGGAAGGCCAAGGCAGGTAGATCACTTGAGGCCAGGGTTTTGAGACCAGCCTGGCCAACATGGTGAAACCTCGTCTCTACTAAAAATACAAAAAATTAGCCAGGCGTGGTGGTGCATGCTTGTAATCCCAGCTACTTGGGAAGCTGAGGCAGGAGAACTGCTTGAACCCAGGAGGCGGAGGTTACAGTGAGCCAAGATTGCACTATTGCACTCCAGCCTGGGCGACAAGAGTGAAACTCTGCCTCCAAAAAACAACAACAAAAAAGATATTATACAATAAAACATGGATACAATCTCATTGTATATTAGGAAGCTATTCAGTTTAGTACATGCAATAGCCCCAAGACTATAACCATCTCAAAATTCATTTGGTGCTTTTCAAAATCCTTTGAGGCATCATCATTGCAATAAAATAGTCCAACAGTATGGTATACAAATACATCCCCAAATCATGAAACATTAATGAGCTAATAAAAACAATTAGTTTCAGTTGCAGCAACTGAAACTATGTCTTCTATTCTGGGATTTAAAATCCTTTTATTTTCTGCATTTCATACTTTCCTCTGTGTATGCTTGTGTGTCAGAAAATGATTAAACCTCCACCTGCTAGTTCTCTTATCTCATGGTTCTTCAGTGGAAGAAGAAAGATCATCATCTTTTTTTTTGTTTTTCCTGTGGATCTCTTGTCAGTGTCCCCATAAGAAATAGTTATCTAAATATAACTTAATTACTGCTACAAAAGAATGATTTCACTAATGCATGCAGACCAACAGAAACACCTTGGGAAACTCAAAGGCTGATGAGCTAAAATTAAATCTGAACACTTATCCATTATATGCTGTCAAAGGGCTTGTCAGATTGAAAGATCCTTATTATCAAACAAAAATGAAAAGAAAGTTTGTTTGCCCCTCGTGACCTATTCCATTTTTTCTTTTTTAAACCTAATTTTTTTTTACAATTATACAAGCACATCGTTTAAAAACCAAACAGTCCTAAAAGGCTTGTTTTGAGAAACAGCAGTTCTCAGTTTCTTCCCTTTTCTGCTTCCCCTCTGTTAGTTGATTCTTTTAGTATTTATCTCCATTTCTCTAGATAACATACTGATCTTACTACTCTAACTTTTTTTAAGGCTCGCTCTATCTATCTATCTATCTATCTATCTATCTATCTATCTATCTATCTATCTATATTTTTTGAGATGGAGTCTTGCTCTGTCCCCAGGTAGGAGTGCGGTGGCATGATCTTGGCACTGCAACTTCCGCCTCCCAGGTTCAAGGAATTTTCCTGCCTTAGCTTCCTGAGTACCTGGGTGCAAGCCACCACGCCTGACTAACTTTTCTATTTTTCAGTGGAGATGGGTTTGCATCATGTTGGGCGGGCTAGTTTCCAACTCCTGTCCTCAAGTGATCCGCCCACCTTGGCCTCCCAAACTGCTGGGATTATAGGCATAGGCATGAGCCACCACACTTGGCTCTAAGGCATTATCTATTTTTTTTTTTTTTTTGAGATGGAATTTCGCTCTTATTGCCCAGGCTGGAGTGCAATGGTGCCATCCTGGCTCACTGCAACCTTCGCCTCCCAGGTTCAAGCGATTCTCCTGCCTCAGCCTCCCAAGTAGCTGGGATTACAGGTGTCTGCCACCACGCCCGACTAATTTTTGTATTTAGTAGAGACGGAGTTTCACCAAGTTGGCCAGGCTGGTCTCGAACTCCTGACCTCGGGTGATCCACCCGTCTCCCAAAGTGCTGGGGATTACAGACGTGAGCCACCGTGCCCAGCCCCTAAGGCATTATCTGTTAACTTCTACCCACACTCTATCCCATGTACCTTTTCATGGAAGGTAAAATTGTTGAAAGCTTACATATCTGAAAATATATTTTTCTATACTTAACCTCAAATGATACTTTGGTGGACTCCTGAATTCTAAGCTAAAACTGATTTCTCTTTAGAACTTTGAGGGTTCTGCTCTGCTATCCTCTGGCTTCCAGTATTGCCATTATGATTTTCATCCTTCACATGAGAACTTGTTTTCTTCCTCTCTAAAAGGCTGTAGAACCTACCTTTTATGTTCCAGTATTCTAAAATTACCTGATGATGTACATTGGTATGAATCTACTTTCAAACACTGTACACAGTACTTGGTAAGCCTTTAAATCCAGAAATTCATGTCCTTCTGTTCAGGAAATTTTCTGTAATTATTTATTTGATGACATTCTTTCTTCCATTTTTCTCCTGCTATTTAGATACTGGATCCCTGGACTGGACTTCAAATTTTCTCATCTTTTCTCTCCGATTTTGCATTTCTTTGGTGTTTTTACTTTCTAGGCAATTTCCTATACTGTAGCTTCCAAGACTTCTAGCAAATGGCCTTCCATTTCTTCTTTCACTTTTTTTTTTGAGACAGAGTCTCGCTCTGTCGCTCAGGCTGGAGTGCAGTGGTGCAATCTCGGCTCACTGCAAGCCCCACCTCCCGGGTTCATGCCATTCTCCTGCCTCAGCCTCCCGAGTAGCTGGGACTACAGGTGCCCACCACCACGCCTGGCTAAGTTTTTGTATTTTTTAGTAGAGACGGGGTTCAATCATGTTAGCCAGGATGGTCTCGATCTCCTGACCTCGTGATCCGCCTGCCTCGGCCTCCCAAAGTGCTGGTATTACAGGCGTGAGCCACCGTGCCTGGCTTCTTCTTTCATATTTTTAATATCCAAGAGTTCCTGTGTCCATGAAGGTTCCTTTTTTGTAGCATCCTGTTCTTGTTTACAGGGTATCTCTTCTTTCTCAGACAATATCAATGATATGTATATTTTAAGTGTTCTCCTTTGTATCTGTTTTAACTGTTATTATCTTTGTTTCTCTCTCTCTGTTCATCCTCATCTACCTGTTCATATTTAATAGTGAGATACTAAAAAGCTACTGGAAGCCATCTGTCTGTGTTTGGGAGGATGAGGACAGGGAAAGGGAGGTTTTTGACTCTGTCATCTAGACTAAGATGATCTAGGTTGGGCCGTTTCCTTGGGAAACCCCCAAAGTCAGAATTCTTAGCTTTGTTCTCACCGCATGCACCCACACCCCCTCTCCCCACCCCTTGCCTTTGGCTAACCAGATTCTTCAGATAATACTTTTCCCATCTCCTGCCTATGGGGTGGGTGATACCTGGCTGAATGATGTGGCAGCCAAGTTGAGGTCTGTTACCTGATTCTTTTGGTTTTGTTTAGGTACCCTCTCCCTCAACTGTGCCTGTGTTTCATAGTGTAGAGAACCTCTGTTCCACCCTTGACAAAGGATAAACCTTCTTGAGCCTTTTGGAAGTTCTAGGGAATAACTCAGATTGCTTCTCAACTTGCTTCTCAATCTGTACTTCCAGATTAGGATCTGCCTCTTTGAGTCTCCTAAATTAGCTGCTAATTATCCTGTTTTCAGATTCCAAAGTTTTGTTATTTTCTTCTTTCCCATTTTATTCATCTTTGTGGGTTACTTCTTTTTTAAAAATACTTTTACTGTCACTTTAATGAAATTTTGCAAGGGGACAGAACTAAATGTGTGTACTCAGTCTGCCATTTTTTTTTTTTTTTTTTTTTTTTGAGACAGAGTCTTGCTCTGTAGCCCAGGTTGGAGTGCAGTGGCATGATCTCAGCTCACTGCAACCTCTGCCTCCCAGGTTCATGCCATTCTCCTGCCTCAGCCTCCTGAGTAGCTGGGACTACAGGCGCCCGCCACCACGCCCAGCTAGTTTTTTGTATTTTTAGTAGAGATGGGGTTTCACCGTGTTAGCCAGGATGGTCTTGATCTCCTGACCTCGTGATCCGCCCATCTTGGCTTCCCAAAGTGCTGGTATTACAGGCTTGAGCCACCGCACCTGGCCCAGTCTGCCATCTTTAACCAGGGGTTCCTAGATCAGTTTTTCCACAGGCTGGTCTTTAAGGCCATCCTCAAATACTGTACCAGCCTTATTGCCTCCTCCTGGCTTTAAGGACACCCTACAACCCTTGAGGTCCCTAGTCTAAAGGGAGAGGAGAGGAATTTCAGTTGATAAAAAGCAAATGTGTCTTTAAATAATTAACTGGGTACTTAACAAGAAAAGTGGGGGTATTTCCTTTGGTAGTCTGAAAGATTTTTTTTTCTGTATAATAGATGGGTTTCTTTCTCCACACTAGATAGGCATGCATTTATCGAGTTTGAAGGGGGAATTAAAAGGTCTCAGAATGTCTCTCCCAGGCCTGGGTTTATAATTCCAAAGATAACATAATTTAAGAATTTAAGACCCAGTCTAATGCAATTCCTTCATTTCATTAGCAAGAAGACTGGTTTTACTGTAAAAGTTGGTTAAATTAAGAAGATCAGAAGTTTCTGAGGATTTTTTTTTTTTTTGAAACAGGTCTTACTCTGTCACCCAGGGTGATCCTACTGCCTCAGCCTCCTGCGTAGCTGGAAACACAGGCATGCACCACCATCCCCAGCTGATTTTTAAAATTTTTGTAGAGATGGGGTTTCAACATGTTGCCCAGGCTGGTCTTGAACTCCTGGACTCAAGCAATCCTTCTGCCTCAGCCTTCCAAAGTGCTGGGGTTACAGGCATAAGCCACAACAACCGGCTGAGGATGGATGTCTTGATAAGACTATGATCACTTGTCTACTAACAAGGATGGTTTTTTTATACCCTGGAGAATTTCTTATTTTTTCAACTGAAGTATCTTTCCCTAATAAGCACAAACAATAAATTCACAACATGCTGAAATTCATATGTTGTGAATTTATTTTTTAACAAAGCAAAGTTATTTAAGTCCTGACACTAACAACAGCTGCCAACCTAAATTTGAAAGTGTTAAAAATAGCTCAATGATCCTTAATTTTCCTATGTTTGTCCCCCTTGCATCTGTCTTCCAACCTTAAAACTAAAACATTATTGAATTTATCTACATAGAAGTTGTAAGATGAAATTTAATCCCATTGTAATTTAAAACTAAACTGTGTTCAATATTAATGTTCAGTTACATGACCTTGAAATTTATTTGGCAATACCTACTGATTGGTGCAGGAGTAATACAGCTTATATTTCTCAAAACACTAGCAATAATATCCCTATAGCCTTCTGATAAACTGCAAATTACACTTATTAATTAGATTTAAGAAGTGTAAATGTTATAACATGGTTATAATGCCACTATCAGGTACACTTTCCAGTTTATTGGAGGAAGTAAAAATGAAATGCACCATGGCTTGAGAATTGATTAATTCTCAGTTTTATTTAGGAGAGTCAGACCTGAAATGTTGCAAAGAAGGGTTACATTACTTCTCTCTTGGCACATGACCCTCAAGTAGTAATCGTTACCATCTGTAATGCTGAAAAATGTGTTCAACATGAAGAATTCTTAGGTGGCATTATTTAGGGAACTACCTGTTCCCTCCACAGTGTTGCTTTACTGAATTTCCTTTCCTTTTTTTCCTTTTTTTTTTTTTTTTTTTTGAGATGGTGTGTTGCTCTTGTCACCCAGTCTGGAGTGCAATGGCGCAATCTCTGCTCACTGCAACCTCTACCTCCTGGGTTCAAGTGATTCTCCTGCCTCGGCCTCCCGAGTAGCTGGGATAATAGATGTGTGCCACCATGCCCGGCTAATTTTGTGTTTTTAGTAGAGATGGGGTTTCACCATGTTGGCCAGGCTGGTCTCAAACTCCTAACCTCAGGGGATCCATGCGCCTCGGCCTCCCAAAGTGCCGGGATTATAGGCATGAGCCACCGTACCTGGCTTTACTGAATTTTCAGCACCAGCTTTAGACTTTACCAGATGCAGGAGATAATCCAGACTTTTGTGCCTCAACATATTTGATCAACTCCGACCCCTTCTCTGATCTTGGAGACTGAATATTAATAAATGGTTAGTAAAATGGCCTATTCTTTTGGTTAATTCACAGGTGGATGAATGCTTACACAAATGCTCTTCATAATTCTAGACCAGTGATGGGGTAGGTGAGGAAACACTTCTAGAAGGAGTGGCTAAAAGGGGTGGGCTGAGGCTGGGTAGCTTGAAAGCAAAGCAGAAATCTGACCTGTGACTTTGAGTATTTGTTGTTGTTGTTAGAGATGGGGTCTCATTCTGTAGCCCAGGCTGGAGTATAGTGGTAAGATCATGGCTCAGCACAGCCCTGAACTCCTAGCCTCAAGCCATCCTCCCACCTCAGCCTCCAGAGTAGTTTGGCCTACAGATGCGAGCCATTGCACTTGATGGCTTTGAGTGTTTTAACGGTAGCCCAGGATGGGGTATTTCAACCCCCTCCATACAAGTTCTGATAAGGCATGCCTTCCCTGAGACCACTGCTTTATATGGGGTAATCTTATATGTTCCATTCTGCTCTGGAAAATCCTAGTTTGTGCCTCTTTTTCTGGTAAAAAGCACCCTCTCAAGTGTCCAGGTTTGGATGATAAATTATCCAGGCCACCAGATCTGTGGTGGATGTGGGATAGTTATATGTAATCTCCACTGGAGAACAGGTGAGTCCCTAATACACACTGCGACTAAATTTCTCTGTGCTTTTCCAGCATAACCTAAAATGTGGAAAAGAAAGATGTAAGACCGTGGTGGTCAATGCAAATGAGAATAATATTAACAGGTAGTGGACTTTGGAGGTAGACAGCCCTGAGACAGAATATGACTCTCCCATTTACTAACTTTGTGATTTGGGGCAAGACATTTCATTCTCCCTTAATCTCATTTTCCTCAACTATGCAATGGAAATGCAAAATTTACTGCACTGAGTTGCGATGGGGATTAAATGAGATGCTGCATAGACAGAGCTTTGCACAGTGGGGAGTTACTGTGAACAAGCTCATTGCCAAACAGTCTATTATATTGTTTTAATTTGATTGAGGCTTCACTTTATGTGTTATCTACATTAACCCCCAAATACACTTACACTTCAAACAAATTTTTAACTTTTAAAATGTTCTTTAATTTAGGCAGGGCGTCAAACTGTTGATTAGATTTGGTTGGCTAGCAATACAGTGAGGTGTTGCAAATGTTACAGTCTGAATGCAAGCTTTAAAGAAATGTCAAAATGTGTCCATTTTAATCAGATATGTCATGATGTGAGAGTCTGTGCTCACATCTATTGACAGAGGGATAAATATGTTAAAGACATACCTTAGCCAGGCGTGGTGGCTCACGCCTATAATCCCAGTATTTTGGGAGGCTGAGGCGGGCAGATCACTTGAGGTCAGGAGTACGAGATCAGCCTGGCCAACATGGTGAAACCCCATCTCTACCAAAAATACAAAAATTAGTTGGGCATGCTGGTGCACGCCTGTAATCCCAACTACTCAGGAGGTTGAGGCAGGAGAATGGCTTGAACCTGGGAGGCGGAGGTTGCAGTGAGCCAAGATTGCGCCACTGCACTGCACTCCAGCCTGGGTGATAGCACAAGACCCCGTCTTAAAAAAAATAAAATAAAATAAAAGAAGACATACCTTAGAGTCTCTGTAGGCAATTTATATTTTATTAATGTAAATATTGATTATATAATTGAAAGTCCAAAGAATAGTGGCAAAAACTTTAAGACATTATTTTGAGAAACATTGTATTTCTTTACTAATTATATATTTAGTAGATAAAGGAAAATACCTTTAACTGTGTTTGAAAATGGTTACGAATACAATACAGTTAAAAGCAGTTAATAGACCTACTGCAGTGGCTCATACCTGTAATCCCAGCACTTTGGGAGGCCGAGGTGGGAGGATCACTTGAGCCTAGGAGTTTCAGACCAGCCTGGGCAACCTGGTGAAACCCTGTCTCTACAAAAATTACAAAAATTAGCCTGGCATGGTGGCATGTGCCTATAGTCCCAGCTACTCTGGAGGCTGAGGTCGGGGGGATCGCTTAAGCCTGCTAGGTGGAGGTGGCAGTGAGCTGAGATTGCACCACTGCACTCCAGCTTGGGTGACAGAGTGAGACCTTGTCTCAAAAAAAAAAAGCCATTAACAGTAGAAATTAACTAACCAGTTAAAACCGAGAACAAGCCACCTTCTTCTAATCTGTCCCAGTTCTCCCAGCATTAAGAATGTCTCATGTGAAGAACATGTCTACATAAAGCAATAGTGAAGAGTGAAACCACTCCTCTTAGAACGACTTAATTTGCTTTTGGTTTTAGTTATCTAAATATTTCAAGTGAAATCAGTTTGTTTGTTTTTGGTGTGTGTGTGTGTGTGTGTGTGTGTGTGTGTGTGTGTGTGTTTAACTTCTTTTTTTTTTTTTTTGACAGAGTTTCGCTCTTGTTGCCCAGGCTAGAGTGCAGTGGCACGATCTCGGCTCACTGCAAGCTCCACCTCGCGGGTTCAAGTGATTCTCCTGTCTCAACCTCCCGAGTAGCTGGGATTATAGGCACATGCCACCATGCCCAACTAATTTTTGTATTTTTAGTAGAGGCGGGGTTTCACCATGTTGGCCAGGCTGGTCTCGAACACCAGACCTCAGGTGATCCACCCGCCTCAGCCTCCCAAAGTGCTGGTATTACAGGTGTGAGCTACCATACCTGGCCTTAACTTTTTTGTAAGAGACAGCATCTACGTTACCCACACTCGTCTCAAACTCCTGGGCTCAAGCAATCCTCCCACTCAGTCTACTCAGTAGCTGGGACTATAGGCACACATCATGCTTGTCTGAAATCAGGGGTTTTAGGGCTATTTTCTACCATGCTTATACAACTAGAATGATGCAGAAGTGAATGACTATTGTCCATTTGCAAGAGAACCAGATCAAATCTGGTTTCTAAATTATATAAAAATATATTTATATGAAAATGTATCTTGCTTAAATAAGTTTAACACAGAGTTTTAAAATACTCTAAAAATTGGAAAATGAGATCTGTGTACATTGGCTGTGTGTGGGCCTTGGTCACATTAACGTACTTTTCCTTAGTATCCTATGTGGCACTTTGCTATGAGAAATGCACCATTGCATCAAATAAGTTTTATTACTTTGGTGGCTAGACAAAGTTTTGTTTTTTCCATTAGCAAATAGAATCTTTTTTAAAGCGGAAAATTGGCAGTTATTTTTAAAGTGGATATATTACATAAATTTGATCTTTAGGGATCTAGGAATTTTTAGTGGACTCTCATGAAGAAAGCAAGTTTTGTGCCATGCATTTTATCCTTAGTCACTTTAATTATAAAGACTACCCATGTCCCAAAGCAGTTCATGTTAGTTGAAAGGTGATTCTAACATATTTTTTTTTTTTTTTTTGAGATGGAGTCCCGCTCTGTCGCCCAGGCTGGAGTGCAGTGGCACGATCTCGGCTCACTGCAACCACCGCCTCCTGGGTTCACACCATTCTCCTGCCTCAAACTCCCAAGTAGCTGGGATTACAGGCACCTGCCACCATGCCAGGCTAATTTTTTTGTATTTTATTTTTAGTAGAGACGGGGTTTCACTGTGTTAGCCAGGATGGTCTCGAACTCCTGACCTCATGATCCGCCCGCCTTGGCCTCCCAAAGTGCTGGGATTACAGGCGTAAGCCACCGCGTCCAGCCAATTTTTTGTTTCTTAATCTCCTTTAAACTTGGAATAAGCATTAAAAGGTTAACCAAGATGCTCATTTTCTGAATTTTTCTGCAGCCAAGTTTACATAGGGGCAACTCTTGAATTCTGAACAAGACATAGGGAACTGGTCTTTTCACAAAGAGGCCATCTTGCAGTTATGTCAACAAACTTTTTCACACTAGTGCATCTGTTTCCAAAGTTTGTGGTTTGAAAGAATAGACTGATATTAACTACTTCTCTTGAGTCTTCAAACGACCAAGAAAGGAAAGAAGGAAGACTGGTAGCAGCAATGAATTTTCACAGACATGCAAACTCAGTATTTCAGATGGCTTAACAGATGCACAGTTACAAATAAGAGCCATATGGGTGCATTAAAGGGTAAAAAATCTGGGTCACATTATACAGTACAGGTGGAAATGCAGCTATAAACACAGTCAGAACAGGTGATTTGGATACCTGTCACTTATATCTATATACAGACTTATCCAGTAAGACTCTCCTATCCCATACTTAAATGAAATTAAACCTTGTCAACCATAAAGTTCAGTATAAAGATCTTTGATGTCAAACACAGCATTCTGAAGCAAGGTTTTATTAGCTAGGTGTTTTGTAAATAACATTTATCTTCAAAGCACCAAACACAGTACACATTCCCAGGTAAATAGTAAGTGCTTAGGAACAACTGTGTTGAATTCATTTATGACCCTAAACATTCTTTCCTCTGAAATATTTGTTAACACTTTAATTGAACAGACCATGGCTTTACTGAGCTAATAAGGCACTTCCTATCTTTAAGCTAATTTTCTTTCCATTAAAATGGCCTGTGCAATACAGGTAATTTGAAACAGCAAGCACATGTACAAGCCAGCAGCTCTACAAAGTGTTGTTTTGTATACAATATTTGATTATAACAATCAAGGCTGTCTTGAAGCACTGCATATTATAGAAAAATAAAAGGACAGTAAGTCCAAGCATCTACATTTTAGCTATGTAATCTTGATTGTTTTTTCAGAATATTTTTCCTACTAATCCAATGGTAGATTTAAAGTTTTCCTGAAATAATCAAAGGACCTGAAATAATCAAAGGACCAAAATTAAACCACAGGGTAAAAATTGTTGGTAATAATCACTGTATTTTTATTTTATTTTATTTTTGAGATGAAGTCTCACTCTGTCACCCAGGCTGGAGTGCAGTGGCGCGATCTTGGCTCACTGCAACCACCACCCCCTGGGTTCAAGCGATTCTCCTGCCAGCCTCCTGAGTAGCTGGGATTACAGGTGCCTGCCACCGCACCCGGCTAATTTTTGTATTTTTAGTAGAGATGGGGGTTCACCATCTTGGCCAGGTTGGTCTTGAACTCCTGACCTCATGAACCACCAGCCTCGGCCTCCCAAAGTGCTGGGATTACAGGTGTAAGCCACCACACCCGGCAAATCACTGTTTAAATATTTACATTTATTTAAAAATCCCTGTATATCAGTTATGATTGTCTTTAGAATATTTGTTTTTTTGGAAGATAGTGAGGCATAGTGGTTAAGGACACGAATTCTGGAGTCATCCAGCCTTGGTGCCAGCTTTGCCACTTACTCGTTCTGACATCGTGAAATGTATAGTTGGTCTTTGTCCAGGTTTCCTGGCACACAACTCCTAAAATCCTTGGAATGTCCAACGTGATTTCACATGATTCCAACATGATAGTCTTTTTTGTATGCTAATGAGATGACTGCTAGCTGGCAGCCGCTGGGTAGCTTCAGCTTCTAGGCTGGTCACTGGAAAGACCAAGGCAGGATCAGAGAGTTAGAACTTTGAGCCACACTCCCCAGCCACTGGGGAAGGGGTTTCACCAACTTAGTAAATTTAATCAATCATACCTACATAATGATAAAAGCTCAAAAGGACTGGGTTCAGAGAGTTTCCCGATAGCTGAACACATGGAGGTTCCTGAAGGGCAGTAGAGCATCGAAGCTCCATTCTCCTTTGCAGGTGCCTTGCCCTGTGCATCTCTTCATCTTGATCCTTTGTGATATCCTTTATACAAATGTACTGATAAAAGTAAGTCAGTCTTTTCCTGAGTTCTGCGAGCCAGTACTAACAAATTAGTCAAACCCAAGGAGAGGGTCGAGGGAACCCCAATATAGAGCTGGTCAGTCAGAAGCACAGGTAAAACAACTTGGGGCTTGCTACTGGCCTTGAAAGTGGGGAAAGAAGTCCTGTGGGCCTGAGCCCTTAACCTATGGGATCTGCTGTTCTCTCCAGGTAGCAGGAGTGTCAGAATTGAATTGAATTCGAGGACAATTCTGCAGCTGGTGGCCACTGCAGAACTGATTGACTGGTTGTTGGCAGGGAGAAATTTCCACACACTTCCTGGTGACCAGAGGTCCCAGAAGTCTTCTGTATTGATTGTTGTGAGTGAGAGAATAGCAAAAGCAGCTTTGTTTGCTTTTTTTTTTTTTTCCCTACATCCTCAGACTAGTTATGTCATCTTTCTGTGCCTCCATTTCCTGTTCTCCAAAACTGAGGGAACAGAACCACCTACATCATAATGTTGTTGATGTAGGCAGTAAAAGTGATAATACATACAAAGCACCATGTTTGCCACATACTAAGTGTTGAAATAGATGTCATATGTCATTATGATCAATGGACCAAAATCCATTGCAAAAGACAAAGAGGAGATGAATGCCTCTTTCCAAGAAGGTAATATAGGGCATTTGAGCTGTCTTCTGTTGAAAACAGAATTAAGGGATCTTACGTGTTTGGAAACATGGAGCAGAGTGCTCTAGGATTACAAAATGCTAATGTATTCATTGTGAAGCTAAAGTGGCTGTATCTTAATGAAACCTCTGAAGTGGATTAAGCTCAGCCGGTAGAATGTGTAGGCAAAAACTCAGGCCAGAGGTGCATTCACGATTCATGGGTATTTCTTGGCACTTTTCTAGACCTTAGAGTAACAAAAATCTTTTTTCTTTTTTTTTTAAATGCTGTATTTGAAAAGCTTTACAACCTGGTAGGGGAGAGGGACAACTGTATGCTTGTATGCTGATGCAATAAGTTACAGAATGGAGGTATGAATGAGGTTTGAAGAAAATGCTGAGGAGTTGGCGGGGGCAGAGGTTGAGGTTTGTTTGGGGGAATTAAGAGAAACTTCACAGAGGACATCTGATCTGGAGCTGGAAAGTGAATAGTAATACACAGTGCAAAAAAGTGATGGAAGTGTCACTTAGGAGTGGGGAAGATGTACCCAGCAGCTTTTCTGCCTTGAGAGTGGTGAGAGGTTCTGTGTGGCTGAGAGTGCACATGGGGAAATTGGATAGAGAGTCCTGGAGGAGCCGACTGGGACCAGTTTGCAGAGGGCCTTGCATGTGAACACTGATGAGAAGTGGTACACATTTTAGCACAGTCAGGTCATGAGCAGAATTGCCTTTTGGAACAGTGACCATGGCCACTGTTCCCCCTTAAAAACACTCCTCTAAGCCAAAAAAAAAAAAAAAATGCTTAGAGGAGTGCTGAAAGAGGCTGAGGCAGAAAGATCAGTTAGAAAAATGTAAAATAATGATGACGACGATGATGATGATGATGTCTCTAGCATGGCAATAGGATGAAACAAGGGCTTAGATTCAAGGGAGAATTACCAGATGGAATCAAGAGACTATGTATGCTGCTTGAATGATATAGGGGTGACGGTGAGTGGGGCTTGTCCAAGGTGATGTGCCCAATGTCACACTGTGGACCAGCACTATCGCCACACATTCATATGACTAGAGCAGTTGATAAAGGAGAAGTGAAGAAGTCAGATGGTGTCAGTGGAAAAGGGTACAATTTAAGAGTGTGCTTTCTTTTTTTTTTTCCTCTTTTTTTTTTTTTTTTTTTTTTGGGACGGAGTCTCACTCTGTAGCCCCGGATGGAGTGCAGTGGCACAATCTCGGCTCACTGCAATCTCTGCCTCCCAGGTTCAAGTGATTCTCCTGTCTCAGCCTCCTGAGTAGCTGGGACTACAGGTGCGCTCCACCATACCTGGCTAATTTTTGTATTTTTAGTAGAGAAGGGGTTTTGCCATGTTGGCCAGGCTGGCCTTGAACTCCTAACCTCAAGTGATGTGCCTGCCTTGGCCTCTCAAAGTGCTGGGATTACAGGCATGAGCTACCATCCCCGCCCAGCCTAAAGGTGTGTATTCTATAGGAAAACTGCTTCCTTTTCTCCTTCCAGCATGGAAGTCAAGATGCAACTCAAAAATCCACTTAGCAGGCAATGAGATGAAGCACTGCTAGAAGTCCCATTTCATGACAAGGCCAATTACTCAGACTTTACTGGGAGCCCATCAAGACATGGCATATGCCTGGCACAGAGAGGGTACTTAACAAATGCTTGTCCATTCAATTTGTTAAGCAGGAAGTGAACAAAGTGGTGGGCTGGGTCTCAGAATTACATGCATCTTCTAAATCCCTCTGTGCCCTGATTTCTTCATTTATAAAATGGAGAGTAAAATGTTAGGAATTAAAAGAAAAAAAATTCTTTAAATAAGACATGATCAAGAAGCACTGATATTGGGAAGAATGGGCAGCTATCTGAGATCCGTATGTAATGATAAGTAATCTATTAAATAGGGGCTACCAACTGGAGTTTATATATACTCTTTATAATATATATATATATATATATATATATATATATATATATATATATATATATATATATCTCCAAAGTTTTATATACTATCTTTTAGCCATAAGGCAAATAAATAAAATAAAATGCAAACATCATAAAATTTACATGGTAAAGCTAACCTTCTTTATCTTCTTTATGTATTTAACTTACTTATTTGAGACAGAGTATTGCTCTGTCAGCAAGGTTGGAGGGCAGTGGCAAGATCACAGTTCACTGCAACCTCTGCCTCCCGGGCTCAACTGGCCCTCCCACCTCAGCCTCCAAAGTAACTGAGACTACAGTTGTGCACCACCATACCTGGCTAACTGTTTTGTAGACATGAGGTTTCATCATGTTGCCCAGACTGCTCTCGAACTCCTGGGCTCAAGTGATCCTCCCACCTCGGCCTTGCAAAGTGCTGGGATAATAGGCTTGAGCCACTGAGCCCAGCCCGAAAAACTAACTTTTTATGGAAGTCTTACTGAAGCAAAAATAAATATATAAATAAAATCGTGTTTAAGGAGAGCTCTTAATTTTGAGAAAAACAACATTTGCAAGAAGTCTTCATTTTAATAAAAACAACCTAAAAATTACAGCATAGGTTTACATCTGCCTTTAAATGTCATTTCATAATAAAACATTATTGCTTTAAAAATATTAGCTTATTAAATAGGTAAGTTCAATAAGTTATAAAGGAGTTAAATGTTTGTATTAAACATGTGAACCATCAGAATTTTTCATATTCTGTCAATCAGGCAGAAGTTGATGTAATTAGAAATGTTCAGAATATGCCAGTTTGTGAGACTCCACTGGATATCCTCACAGTCAATGCTCAAAAAATATCCACTGACTGAATGAAATAAAGAAAAATAATCACATATATAACATGTATGTGTAAGCTAGACAACAAACATGTAAATGAACTGTACCATTTAATTTTTAAAACAGACTACACAGCTTCTCTATCATACTAGTTAGAAAATAATCCTTGTAGCACCTCAAATAATTCTTCATATGGAAACCAAAAGATGACTCTTTGCCTCTAAGCCACCACCGGCTAAGGGAAGGCTCCCTTGAAAATGGCCCCTGTCCCTCTACTGTTTTTATTTTTTATTTTTTTATGAATGGATGTATCAGACTTAGACTTTTAGCTCTGTGGCATTACACATGGAAACACTTACAAAATTATACTAAGTAAATGACAGGCTTTCAGTTGTTTTTTAATTAGGAAAAATACCTAGTCCTTCAAAACTAGATATTTTATTTTGAATTTTATTTGTAATCAAAATGTTGTTCTGGAAGCCTTTTCTGTAGTCTTAATTACTCAAACATGTTCCTATGGGACTTGATGTCACCACTGTATAGCAATCCTGCAGATGGCAAAAGTTTAAAATAGAATTAAACTAAGCTATTAATTATGTAGACAGGGTAAAAGAAATATAAATGAATAGCCTTTAAAATAAATTTTAGTACTTCTAACTGCCAGAATGGCAGCTGTTTGTCTACTTTCTTGGGAGACAGAAGAGTCAAGTTAGCTTATGCTTTGCTATTGTTTATACAAAATAAAATATTAGTTCTCTTGTTTAAAATGCCAAAGGATAGAAATGTGATTCTTACAGACAATCCTGCTTACAGTTTTGCTTAGTGAGGGCAGGGTTGATTTTTCAAATTCTTTAGATCAAAAGTTAAGAAGGCCGGTGCAGTGGCTCATGCCTGTAATCCCAGCACTTTGGGAGGCCAAGGCAGGCAGATCACTTGAGACCAGGAGTTTGAGACCAGCCTGGCCAACGTGGTAAAACGCCATCTCTACTAAAAATACAAAAAATTAGCCAGGTATGGTTGCGCATGCCTATAATCCCAGCTATTCAGGAGGCTGAGGCACGAGAATTGCTTGAACCCAAGAAGCAATGAGCCAAGATTGCTCCACTCACTATATTCCAGCCTGGACAACAGAGTGAGACCTTATCAAAAAAAAAGGAAAAAGGAAGAATTTTCTTTTCTCTTTTCCTTCCTTCCTTTCTTCCTTCCTTCCTTTTTTTTTTTTTGGTGGCGTCTCACTCTGTCATCCAGGCTGGAGTGCAGTGGCACTATCTTGGCCACTGCAACCTCCACCCCAGGTTCAAGCAATTCTCCCACCTCAGCCTCCCGAGTAGCTGGGATTACAGGCACATGCCACCATTCCTGGCTAATTTTTGTATTTTTAGTACAGACGGGGTTTCACCATGTTGGCCAGGTTGGTCTTGAACTCCTGACCTCAAGTGATCCGCCTGCCTCGGCCTCTCAAGGTGCTGGGATTACAGGCATAAGCCACTGCGCCCGGCCTATAAGGAAGAATTTTCAAGTTGGATTAAATTATAGATTTTTATTTCTTCTTCTTCCACTGGCAGACAATGTAATTTTTTATTTCATATGAAACACTAATGGTGAACTGGAAACTCTTCATTTTATACTCTAGAAATGCCATAAAACATTCCCCCTAAATTATATTCAAGTCACTGTTCAGTCCACTAAATCCTCAATAACACTATATTGCCTCATCAAACGTAAGCTCGATTTCTTGAATCAGCATTTTCTTTAATACTACTCAGGGGATATGAGAGTTCAGCAACTCCTAAAGGTTCCCAACATTTTTTCTATGAATCCCAAAGACATTAGAGAAAAGTACAAAATGCAAAAATTCTAAGAAAGACACAAAGGAAGGTTTTACAGAGGCTCTCTTGGCCATTTTAGGCAAAAAGTCAGTGTATTTTATCAAATAATTTTTTTTTTTTTTTTTTTTTTTGAGCAGAGTCTCACTGTTGTCAGCCCAGGCTAGAGTGCAATGGCATGATCTCAGCTCACTGCAACCTCTGCCTCCCGGGTTCCAGCAATTCTCCTGCCTTAGCCTCCCAAGTAGCTGAGATTACAGGTGCCCGGCACCTGTAAAACATGGTGAAACCCTGTTTCACCATGTTGGCCAGGCTGGTCTCGAACTTCTGGCATCAGGTGACCTACCTGCTTCGGCCTCCCAAAATGCTGGGATTACAGGCATAAGCCACCGTGCCCAGCCATCAGATTAATTTTATAAGAAAAGTACAACCTTGTTCATGTGGTATTGCCCTATTGCTAAAGATGTTAAGGGCTTTTTTTTTTTTTTTTTTTTTTTGACGGAGTCTCGCTCTGTCTCCCAGGCTGGAGTACAGTGGCACGATCTCGGCTCACTGCAAGCTCCGCCTCCCAGGTTCACGCCATTCTCCTGCCTCAGCCTCCTGAGTAGCTGGGACTACAGGTGCCCGCCACCACGCCCAGCTAATTTTTTAGTATTTTAGTAGAGTCGGGGTTTCACCGTGTTAGCCAGGATGGTCTCGATCTCCTGACCTTGTGATCCACCCGCCTCGGCCTCCCAAAGTGCTGGGATTACAGGCGTGAGCCACCGCGCCTGGCCAAGGCTTTGTTTTTATTGTACAATAATAGTGTTAAAATGTTAGGTTATACATTCACACAGATAACAGATCAAATATTCTGGACCTCTGATAAATGATCTCTTAGGCTCACAACTCCTTTGCCTACACCTTTCCTCCATCGTAGTATTACAAAGATAATTCAGAAAGGCTTAAAAATATGCCTACTGTTAATCTTTTCCATTTCATAATTGTGTGCAATCAATAAACTAAAAGGTGTGTAGTTTAATTCAGGAGAAAGGATAACATTGAGCTCCAATCTTTAATACTTCGTAATTCACATAAAACAGGACAACTCAGAGTTGACTTTTCAAAAACAACTTAATGGTAGCTACCATTAATTAATTTGAATACAGCTGAAATGGTGCTTTTGATTCACTGTAAAATGAACAACTGCTAATGATCAGAATGATACTCTCTTTCTAGAGAAAGATAATTGAATAATGAAGAGAAAGAGCATTATTTTTTACTTTCTTCATTTATTTATAACATTATTTCTCATTTAAAAATTTTTGCCCAGGTATGGTAACTTATGCTTGTAATCTCAGTACTTTAGGAGGCCGAAGTGGGAAGATCGCTTGAACCCAGGAGTTCAAGAGCAGTCTGGGCAACATAGGGTGACTTCATCTCTACCAAAAAAATAAATAAATAAATTAGCCGGGCATGGTGGCATGTACCTGTAGTCCCAGCTACTTGAAAGGCTGAAGTGGAAACGATCGCTTGAGCCTGGGAGGTTGAGGCTGCAGTGAGCCATAACTGTGCCACTGCACTCCAGCCTGGCCCACACAGCAAGACTCTGCCTCAAAAAATAAATAAAGAAAGAAATAACAATTTTCATTTTCCTAGCAATTCTACTTCTAACAGTAAATCCTAAGGAAACAATCAGAGATATGTAAAAAACATCTCTATGTACAGGTGGTCAATGAGTAATTTTTAATACTAAAAAATAAGAAGTATCTTGAGGATTCAACAAGATGGTGGTTAAGAACCGGTCAAATAATTTTACTCACATAATAGAAAATTATGCAGCTATAAAACTATAGACCAGTGTTGTCTAACAGAAATAGAATATGACTGACATTTGTAACTTTAAATTTTCTAGTAAGCACATTAGAAAAAGTAAAAAGTAACGAGTGAAATTAATTTCGTTAATATATTTTATTTAGCTCAACTTATTTGAAATATTTCAACATGTAATCAATATAAAAATTAGTAATGAGATATTTTACTTTTTAAAAATGTGTTTCTTGTTCCGGCCGGGCGCGGTGGCTCACGCCTGTAATCCCAGCACTTTGGGAGGCTGAGGCGGGCGGATCACGAGGTCAGGAGATCGAGACCATCCTGGCTAACACGGTGAAACCCCGTCTCTACTAAAAATACAAAAAATTAGCCGCACGCTGTGGCGGGCGCCTGTAGTCCCAGCTACTCGGGAGGCTGAGGCAGGAGAATGGTGTGAACCCGGGAGGCGGAGCTTGCAGTGAGCCGAGATCGTGTCACTGCACTCCAGCCTGGGCGAGAGTGAGACTCCGTCTCAAAAAAAAAAAAAAAAATTGTGTTTGGAATCTGGTGTGTTTTTTGCACTTACAGCACATCTCAATTCAGACTAGCCACAATTCTAGTGCTCAACAGCCCATGTTGCTAGTGGTTACAGTATTAAATAGTGTAGCTATAGATAAGGCTTAGATCTAGAAAATCATTAATGAGATATTAAAATTTAAAAATAGATCATGACATAAGTACAGTATATTTCTAATTGTATGCTTTAAAAATCCATGAATAAGAGAAAAAAACCTAGAAGGGTATATACCAAAATGTTTACCATGTTATTCTGGGGATAGATTTTTTTTTCTTCTTTTTTTTTTTTCTGTATTTTTTACCCGTTTGACAATAAATCTATATTATTGTGAAGTTAATGAATCGTTATGTTATTTAATATTTTCCAATCAGCACTGATTAGATTTATGATGACTTAAACATTCAACTCCAAGAACCTTATCCCTGAAAAATTACTGTACTTGTCTTTGTTCTGCGTTTCATACCAGTGAGTACTAATTTCATTGTCCATAGAGAATAATTCACTGCTGTGAACAAGACTTACATTTTGAGCACAAGCCCTAACATTTGCTCCTTAAAAGTGGTGTGTGTAAATATAGTATAAGAACTGTGGGAAAATTATTTCATTGCCTGTTAAATAACCATTTGTTAAGTCTAGACAACAGTCATAAATGGTCATTATTTATAAAGTTGCCAAAGTGCTTGGGGGAATTGTATAATAAATAGGCAACGTGACCAACACCTCCTTGTACTGCCATACCCCACAAAAAATAAAGAGAGAGAGAGAGAAAATACATAAATTGGCAAAGATGCTAAATATAGACTAAATTTACTCTGAAAAGTAAAACAAAACAGAAAGGAATGTCACACGCATGGCACTCACTTCACACAGCAGAGGCCTTGTTCTTCTGACACTCTTCATCTTGTGCCCTCACAACTCCCCTCCCACACAAAAACGCCCCTAACGACAAAACTAGCCCAATTTCCTTTTCAACATTTTCTCTCAATATTCCCCCATCACTAGCTCTGCACTGTCTAGCTATTCTGACATTCCTCATTGTATCCTCAAAAAGGTTCCTATTACTGTCAAGTAGGCCCAGGAAATATTTGACCTAGATTTATTTTATTGAGAAATAATGATCAAAACTCCTACTTATTGTATAAAGTAGGGCTTACGGTCAGTAATAGAAGCACTCAAAAACATGTAGATAATTACAGATGGTGGTCAGGGCAATAAAGGAAAAGATGAAGAAAGAAAGAAAGAAAAGAGCAGATCCGGATGCAGAAGGGGTCAGGAAAGTCCTCTCCATTGACAATGGACAATCTCCACTGAAGATGAGCCCTTAGAGATGAGAGCCCGCCAGGAAGAATGGGAATAAGCATCTTCCTGCAGAGGTGCGGGTACTGGTCCAGGGTGGATGGGGACTCGGGTGAATTCCAAAAGGGCAGGCCAGTGTTGGCTGGACTATGATAAGGGAGTGGGAGGATGCCAGAGCTATTTCAGCCTTGGGCATCCAGCACAGGGGCCAGCAACAGTGTGTGAGCTGTGGCTATTATTATTATCATTAACAACAGAAGCAATAGGTAAAATGCATTAAGCACTTTTGATGAGCTAGACACATGCTAAGAACTTTACACATAAGAATGGGTTAATTCTCTACAGTAGCCCTTTGAGATAGATATTAAGCAAGAGGTTAATAATTTGTCTAAGGCAGCATGCCTTGAAAAGGGCAGAGCAGGGATCTGCTGACTCTGGAGTCAGGACTCTTCCTCTCTTTGGCAGAGTCTCTACTTCCAAGTGTTACACCCAGATGTTCATTACCCCCACAATGGTGGGAAAAGGAACAGTTTTTTGAAAGGGGATACTAAAAAAAACCCCAAAGAAACAGATTTATTTTCCTAGAAAGATAAACCTACCTATGAACAAAATACAAATCATTCTTGTCTAAAGCCATGGAGTAAGGACAAAGAAAATATGTATAGTGTGCTGCAGTAGATATGTATGGTTTTTGACTTCCTGACATTTATTTTCCTTTTCTCTAATAAAAATAATTTTTCTCTGGGACACCATCTCTCATCCACTCTCAGTTTGTGACAGTTTTGGTGGGGCAGAACCCACCCTCGGGTTTAGGGTGGGACACATGACCCTGTAAACCTAGCCAACTGGAACATTCCATACCCATGGCCAGTAACTGGTTCAGATATGGTATATGACTGATGGCACATCAGCTCAATTCTGGAACTTTCCTGAATTATTGAGGAAGATACAAACTTACAGCTGCTGGTGTGCACACCTGCTCCATCTTGGACAATATTGCCTGACAATGAAGCCA
Organism: Homo sapiens; assembly: GCF_000001405.40. NCBI lineage: Eukaryota > Metazoa > Chordata > Mammalia > Primates > Hominidae > Homo > Homo sapiens. The sequence continues at coordinate 42,535,249 of NC_000012.12, forward strand.
GCACAAGAGAAAGACATGCTGAAGAAGAAGAGATGACAGTCCTTAGGAATCACAAAACATATAGATTCCACCACGCTAGCACAAGATTTAGTCCTGGACTTTTCAACTGAATGAACCAACACATTTCCTTTTCTCAGAGAAGCTATTTTGAGTTGGATTTTTCAAACAGAACAGACCTGGTGTGGATCAGAGTCAGTATAGAGGAAACTGATATGAGGGTCAACAAAGGCCAGTGTTAGCCAAAATAGCAGAAAGGTGGTCAGAAAGATCCTAAATTTTATGACCATTGAGAAAATTGTTTGAGAATCCCAGTGGTTAGAATGAGTTTGCTCTTCCTTAGGGGCAGGCAGCCAACAGAGTAGGAAGCAGAACTCTGAAATGCAGGTGCAAGCTGGATATGGTTACACACCCTCTAGTCCCAGCTATTGGGGAGGTCGAGGCAGGAGGATTGCTTGAGCCCAATAGTTTGAGGCTGCAGTAAGCTATGATTGTGCCACTGCACTCCAGCCTGGGCAACAGAGTGAGAACCTGTCTATTTAACAAGAAAGAAAGAAAAGAAATAAAAGAAAATAAATATAGATATAAACAGCCAGGAGTCAATAAATAGTTATTGGTTGTTTAATGTATATGACGATCTGTGCTAGGTGTAGGAATATGATAATGAACAAGAGATAGTCCCTTTCCCCCTTGGAGTTCATCAGCTACTCTAGAGGGCAAAGGAAGGAAGCACAGGCTGGTACACTCACATCATAATTTACCCACAAACTAACACAGTACATTCAAAGCAACACCCGAGTAAAAGAAAAGTCTTGGTTCTCTGGTCTGCACAGAAATATCACCCACTGAACAGTGTGATGAAACGCTCAAATGTGCAAAAGCCAAAAGATAAAGAGAATGGAAAAGATGAAAAGATCAGCATCTGTAGTAGTAGCAATTATGGGCAGAAAGACTTAGACACTGGAACTGAGGGACTCCAAGGGGACTTTTGTCTATTTCCAGAAATGAAGATGCTAAAGAAAGAAATTAATCCAGGAAACTGGGGATAGAATGTAAGGAGGGACACCACAAAACAGGGCCAACATTAAAAATGCCTCTTGGTGATGCAAACTAATGTTAGGTCTGGGAGCTTTTCCTGGTTTTCACCACCCCTAGATCCTCCAGCTGATTTCTCCTTCCAACCAATTCCTGTTTCCTCAGATCAATTCTCCATCCAGCTCCCTCTTCAGCGGAGTTGGACATTAGCTGCCTTCCTGAACTCACAGTCCCGTGTCCTGAAACTAACCAAGGGCTCCTGGGGTATGGTTTCCTATATTCTTTTGTGTCCCAGTCTTCAGACCTGGACTTTTTCTTTGGTTCCTGCTACACTGCTTAGTTCTAACAGCTCTCTCATCTGACTCCCTGAACTTATGTGTAGAAGTTTCTCATTTCTGAGTTCCTGAACTCTGCTCACCTGGGCAAGATGCTGCCACTTTCTTTGGGTCATCTGATGCCTGAATAGCCCCTGAGCCCATCACTGTCTTCTCCTACCTCTTCCCATCCCTCTTGTCCACCCTTTCATCTTGAAGAGCTTTTCTTCACTTGGTGTGCATAGTTTTTGCTCCATTTGCTATGAGGACTCATTAAGTTTCATGTTCATATAATGGCAAATTTTATCCATCTTTGGGAGGGTTACTGGTACGTATACATATTATAATTAGCAATGCTCTTAAATTAACTCTTTGGTAAAACTACATGTAATCCACCTATAGAGTTGTTTTGGCTCCTCTTGATTCTTACATTTACAAAAATTTCAACATAAAGATCCTATTTAGGTGTTGCTAAATTAAAACACCTCACTCAACACAAATATGCCTAATAAATTATCTGTTTTGCTTTACCTGGGGCCTAAGTAGAGACTTTTTTTTTTTTGAGACAGGGTCTTACTCTGTCACCCAGGCTGGAGTGTAGTACTATAATCATGGTTCATGATTCATCACAGTTCATCAATGTAGCCTCAACCTCCTGAGCTCAAGTGATCCTTCTGCCTCAGCCTCTGGAGTAGCTGGGACCACAGGTGTGCACCACCATGCTCAGCTAATTTAAAAAAAAATTTTTTTTGGAGAGACAGGGTCTTGCCATGTTGCCCAGGCTGGTCTCGAACTCCTGGGCTCAAGCGACCATCCTGCCTCTGTCTCCCAAAGTGCTGGTATTATAGGCATGAGCCACCATGCCTGGTCATCTGAGACTATTCTTAAACAAATCTGCCAGGGAACAAAAACCCAAACCAAACAAAACGCAGTAATATTGACCATATCAAACAGGCTTGAATACCAACTCTGTTTTACTGAATATTTAACCATCACTTTGATTCAATCATTCAACAAATATTTAATGAGTGTTTACTGTGTACCAGACAGTGATTGAAGCCTTGGAGATTTAGTGGAAAACAAGACATTTTCTGAATATTTCATATGTGCTGATTAGCAAACTACGCTCTCCTCCTTTGTGGAACCACTACTTGGTAAATTCAACTTTTATCCCTTCCTGTGCTTTGGGGACTCTGCCCAAGATACACTCCCAAAATGGCATGTCCATCTCAGGACTCACTTGTTCAAAGAAGCATTCTTTCAACCAAACAATCGTGTAACAGTAATACTGAAATAAAACAATGACATAATGCAATGAAACCTATCACCTATAGATAACAAAACTGAGGCAAAGGGAAGTTAAAAACACTTTCCCAAGGTCATCCAAAGAGTGTCTGTTGGGAGAAGTATTAAATCTCTTGACTCTTAATCTAGTGCTCCTGGCTGGGTGTGGCTCACATCTGTATTCCCAGCACTTTGGGAGGTTGAGGAGACAGGATCGATTGAGCTCAGGAATTCGAGACCAACCTGGGCAACATAGGGAGACCCTGTCTCTAAATATATATATCCAGTGCTCTTTCTTCTCTTTCATTGTCCAATATAGTAGCCATTAGGTCCATGTGGCTATTTAAATTTAGATTTAGAAATAAGAATCCAGTTCCTCAGCTTCACTAGCTACCTATCAAGTTGCTCAACAGCTAGTAGCTTCATACTAGGCAGCAAAAAAAAATAGATGGTCTCCATCATTGCAGAAGGTTCTGTTGGATAGTGATCTGGGGTCAAAAACACAGTGCTTGTATTGTTCTGACTCAGCATTTCTCAAACTTAAATGTGCATAGCATTCACCTGGAGATGCTGTTAAAATGCTGATTCTGATACAGAAGGTAGGGGTGCGGGGGTGGAAGTGTTGACATTTTACAATACTAATAAACTCTGAACAACAGAACTGCTACCGGTCAGAGGATCACTCCATGTCCCGAGCATGGAGTATCAAGATTCTAGCTCATCATTCTTTTTCCCTTCTCTGAACTTCTACTAGAGTTAATACCATATGGTTTAATGCCCTAATAGTTTGATGTGTATCTTTTTTGTCTTCCTAATTAGATTTTAAGCTCATTAAGACACAGAACCACATATTATTGCTCTTCACATCCCTAATTAGGGACCACACAGTGTAGGGATACAAGGGAAGTAAGTTTTCCTATCTTTAAGTGCATTATATATGATGCAGTTTGTTGCAAATTGCTGCAATGTGACACATAAATACAGTTTCTTGTTTCTTTTTTAAAGACATTAGGTCTTTTATCTAACCATTTATTGCCTTAGATTTCCCAAAAGTTAGAGAGTGGTAGCTATGCTAGCTCAACTTCAAGAAAAAAACATGGGAAGTAATTCTGTTTAGCAGATTTAAAATGAATTTTAAATTTTAATATAGCATACATCAAATAATTTAAGAAATAGCTGGAAAATATAATGTAATTTGATAGCTGAAGGAATGCTGAATAGTATCCTGAAAGTACAAAAACTTGAACGTCAAAGTTCTGTCTTGAAGTTAGAAAATGATTAAAATATTCACAAAAGTAATACAATCTGGCTGGGCACGGTGGCTCACGCCTGTAATCCCAGCATTTTGGGAGGCCGAGGCGGGTGGATCACGAGGTCAGGAGATCGAGACCATCCTGGCTAACACGGTGAAACCCTGTCTCTACTAAAAAATACAAAAAATTAGCCGGGCGTGGGGGTGGGCGCCTGTAGTCCCAGCTACTCGGGAGGCTGAGGCAGGAGAATGGCATGAACCTGGGAGGCAGAGCTTGCAGTGAGCTGAGATCATGCCACTGCACTCCAGCCTGGGTGACAGAGCGAGACTCTGTCTCAAAAAAAAAAAAAAAAGTAATACAACCAGAAACTTTATCTGTGTTCTTATATTACTGAGACCTTCTATTTTACCCTGAAATAGAGAGCAATGTCTTTGAATAAGACAGCTGCTGTCTTGTTATGAGCACAATTCTTATGATGGCTTTCCATCCAAAATTTCCTATTTTTCTAGAAATCTCAGCAATCACTATTTGTAATCAGTTATTAATTAAAAGCTTTAGAGTTAGGTTTATAAAGTCAGTCATTTTTGTATTTTGAAAAGTCACATATTTATGCATTAAGTTTTTTTAAAGAGTCCTTTGTGCCTTCTTAAATGTATTCCTGACAAAGCAACAAGAAAAAAGTTTTATTAATGCACAAGACTGAAAGAAATGTCAAGTATGCTAGGGTTCTGGTTTTGATTTTGGACTTCAGAGAAAGTTAAAGAAACAGTGGAACACTGCCTTTAATTACAATCTAATGTCCTGGAGAATACTTGATATCTCTCCCAGTGGGCATTCTAGGCGGTGTGAGAAGAAAATCAACTGTGATCAGTACAACATAGACTCATTCCACCTAGTCAAGTTAATCAGGGATTATATTGTGTGTACATCATGAACCTCCCTGGTTTTGTTTAAGATGGTGTTTTTCACATTAAAAGATGGAAATGTTTCAAGAGTTAAATCCATAGCTTTACTCATGCTACATAACATAAGCCAATAAAAGTTTGTGCTAAGATTCCTCAAACTCCCACTTCACTGTGGAGAGGATAACTGATAGAATGTTTCCCTCAGGAGGAGATAAGCAGCTCTGATAGAAAGATGGCTGCAGTGTCACAGTTAAGAGTTTGGGTCTGAAGTTGCTACCTGAAAACAAATTCTCTACTCAGCCTCCTCATCATGTTGGTCTTAGGAAAATTATCTCTTTAAGACTCAGTTTCTTCATTGGTGAAATGGGAAGGCAAGGAGGATTGTTAGGAGCATTAAATGCAATACTGACCATATGGCACTTATAGTAAACAAATATTTAGCATATAGTAAGCTTTAAATGAATGCTAATTATTTTTTATTATATCTGAAAGATATTTATCATAGCTTGGTGGTCATGAAATACATATATATATATAGTTTTTGAGATGGAGTTTTGCTCTTGTTGCCCAGGCTGGAGTACAATAGTGTGACCTTGGCTCGCTGTAACCTCCGCCTCCCGGGTTCAAGCGATTCTCCTGCCTCAGCCTCCCAAGTAGCTGAGAATACAGGTATGCACCACCACGCTGGCTAATTTTGTATTTTTAGTAGAGATAGGGTTTCACTATGTTGGTCAGGCTGGTCTCAAACTCCTGACCTCAGGTGATCTGCCCACCTCAGCCTCCCAAAGTGCTGGGATTACAGTTGTGAGCCACTGCGCCCAGCCAAAATATTTTCTTCTACCTCCATCAAGCCTCCTTACTCCTTAAGATCCTCTCACTTTGTGGTTGTATTTAGAAATCTTTCCTCAAATTATACAACATATCTATTTATGGGTAGAATAGAGAGGTATTTGGTTTTTTTTTCATTTAAACAAGTATGTTAGCTGCTCACTTGGAATTGCTCTATAGCCCCCATTCAGAGATAAATAATTCAAAGAACTGAAGTACAATTTCAAGAAATATATTAATATACAAATACAGTTGGTAACATAAGATGCACTTTTCCAGAGGAAAACTTTTAGGCATCGGTTGCTGAAATGAGGTCCAGATAGCTCAGAACAAAACAGAAGTTGGCGATTATATGCATAATTTATACTATATAAGGAAAAAATTACTCAGATCACAAAGAAGATTGTTTTTGTCCTCAATTATCTGGTTTGGTTGTTGTTTCCTATGCAAAAATCATGCCAACTCTACTCTTCTCTTTTTTTTTTCTTTTTTTTGAGACAGGGTCTTGCTCTGTTGCCCAGGCTGGAGTGCAGTGGTGCCATCATGGCTCACTGCAGCCTCGACCTCCTGGGCTCAAGCAATCCTCCCACTTCAGCCTCCCAAGTAGTCAGGACAGGTGCACACTGCCACGCCCAGCTAATTTTTACATTTTTTGTAGAGATGGGGTCTCACTATGTTGCCCAGGCTGGTCTCAAACTCCTGGGCTCAAATGATTCTCCTGCCTCAGCCTCCCAAAGTGCTGGGATTACAGGCATGAGTCACCATGCCTGGACCCCCACTCTTCCTTTTTTGAGCACAGAACTGTTTTCCTCATCAAAGTCAAGAGACAGCAGTCCCAGTAACATCCTCCAAGGCTGGCCAGGTGACTGTCACTAGCCAAAGAGCTTGTGTATCAGCACAGTCAGGTGAGAAAGGATCAGAAGTGCTTGTTCCCTACATTAGGCTGACCTTTCCTTGAAGGTAGAATAGTGAGCATGTTCACGTTTAAGATCATGTTTATGACAGAGCAAGTCAAGAAGGGGATCCATGCTCCCCTCTAGCCATAGGGTTCAGGAAGCACAGAGCCAGGAAGAGAAACGGGCTTGCAACATCTCATTTGTGTAGTCCTTTCAAGTTTATGAAGTCATACTAGAACTCACTCCGAACATAGTCCTCAGGGGGCTAGTATAATTGTTTTATCTTACCAAGAAAATGAAGCTATGAGAGGAAGATGGCTTGCCCAGGAAATTTCAGCAGCCTAGTAAGGAGCAGAGCTAGAAGCTACTCCCTCATCACTCTACGAACAGGGTGTGAGAAGACAGCTAAGGGGGCAGAAATGCCAAGAATTTTGATATGATGGTGTAAGATGTCACCAAGATATGGCTTGTGTGGTCTTTGGTTTTTTTTTTATGCTGTCAAAGAAAGTAAGATAAAACTAGGGCTTTTATATGATTTTTTTTCATAATGTTATTACATATTTAATCTATATTCAATATTCTCAATTTGTTTTAAAAATTTATTTTGCGGCCAGGCACGGTGACTCATGCCTGTAATCCCAGCATTTTGGGAGGCCAAGATGGGTGGATCACCTAAGGTCAGGAGTTCAAGACCACCCTGACCAATATGGTGAAACTCCGTCTCTACTAAAAATACAAAACTTGGCTGAGTGTGGTGGTGCATGCCTATAATCCCAGCTACTTGGGAGGCTGAGGCAGAAGAATCGTTTGAACCCAGGAGGCGGAGGTTGCAGTGAGCCGAGATCATGCCATTGCACTCCAGTCTGGGCAACAGAGCAAGACTCTGTCTCAAAAATAATAATAATAATTTGTTTTGCCTTTGTTGTATTAAAAAATGTTTTAATAGAAGCTATTTCTTTCTCCTAACCAGGATCCAATAAGGTTGTATTTTGCATTTTGCAGGACAGTTGTCTTACAGAAGGGCCCACATTCAAGATTTGGTTGTTTACGTTAACTTCTAACATATTCTGCTAGCCCCTTGCTATGGTCTGAATGTTTGCGTCCTCTAACCCCCAAATTCATATGGTGAAACCTAATTACCAGTGTGATGGTTCTAGGAGGTGGGCGATTGGGAGGTGATAGGTCATGAAGGCAGAGCTCTCACAAACAGGATTCATTGTCCTTATGGGAGAGGCCTCAGAGAGCTGCCTTGCTCTTTCCACCATATAAGGACACTGCGACAGGCATCATTTATGAACCAGAAAGCAAGCCTTCACCAAATACCAAATTTGCCAGTGCCCTGATCTCAGGCTTCCCAGTCTTCAGCCCTGTGAGAAATACATTTCTGTTGTTTATAAGCCAGCCAGCCCAAGGTGCTTTGTTACAGCAGTTCAAATGAATGAAGACACCCCTTTATTTCCTATAAACTGTGTAAGGCTTGCTAAGATTCAGGCTAAATGTTCTTGAAAAGAAGATTTCACTGGTGACACTGTGTACAGTTGACACTTGAACAATGTAGGTGTTAGGGGCGCTGACTTCCTGAGCAGCCACAAATTCATGTATAACTCTTTTTTTTTTTTTTGAGATGGGGTCTCACTATGTTGCCCAGGCTGCACTCGAACTCCTGAGCTCAAGTGATCCTCCTGCCTCATTCTCCCGCAAGGCTGGGACTATGGGTATGTGCCACCGCATCCAGCTCTACATGGAACTTTTGACTCCTCAAAACTTGTTTTTTTCTTTTGAGATGGAGTCTCGCTCTGTCGCCCAGTCTGGAGTGCAGTGGCGCGATCTTGGCTCACTGCAAGCTCCACTTCCTGGGTTCACGCCATTCTCCTCCCTCAGCCTCCTGAGTAGCTGGGACTACAGGTACCCACCCCCATGCCCAGCTAATTTTTGTATTTTTAGTAGAGGTGGGGTTTCACCGTGTTAGCCAGGATGGTCTCGATCTCCTGACCTCGTTATCTGCCTGCCTCAGCCTCCCAAAGTGCTGGGATTACAGGCGTGAGCCACCGCACCCGGCCAACTCCTCAAAATTTAAATAATAATAGCCTGCTGTTGACCAGAAGCCTCACTGATAACGTAGTTGATTAACACATATTTTGTATAAGTATTATATACTGTATTTTTACAATAAAGTAAGCTAGAGAAAAAATGTTAAGAAAATCATAAGGAAAAGAAAATACATTTACTATTCATTAAGTGGAAGTGGATAATCATAAAGGTCTTCATCCATGTCATCTTATGTCAAGTAGGTTGAGAAGAAGGAAGAGAAGAAGGGGCTGGCCTTACTATCTCAGGGGTGGCAGAGGTGGAAGAAAATCCACATATAAATGGACCTGCACTGTTCAAACCTGTGTTGTTCAAGGGTCAACATTGCTGCCCATCAAGAAACATACTAGGCTGCCTCACTATTTACAAATTTACGAGTGATCACTTGATTATGTTGGTCAGCACCAGATTTTTCCATTAGGAAGGTATGTATTTTTCTTTATCAGTATATGTAAAGTATAGCTAATTATATAGTAGATGTAATTTTTTTTGTAGTCTGTCAATGCACTATTCCTCAACAATCTTCCCACTTTTCCAGCTAATTTTTGTTGTATTTGTCATCTATCATCACTAACAATTAAAATCCTCTGCAACTTTCAGGATTTGGGCTGGGAATCTGCTGAGGCAAAATCTCCCCTACTCCCATCTTCCCATCTCCCATAATGTTAACATTTATGGACCTAACTTCAGGCCCCTAAAGATAAGCCAAGTAAAAGTTAGTGAACATTACCCTTTGCAGGACAGGAGAGTTCCATCAGGAAGTTCCCTCTCTACCAAAAACTCTAAAGATAATGCTAACCCTCTGATAGAACTAGTTATGCTCTTAAAAATTTTTATTTTTTATCTTATCAAAGTAATATATAAGTACTTGTTTTTAAGAGCAAAATAGTGAGGGCTAAAAAGTCTTACAACAGAAATGGTAGTTACCTGGCTGCTGAAGGCAATCACTTTTGTCTCTTTGTGCTATTTCTTCTGAGATTTACCTCTACATTTCAAAATAATATGTAGAGACTACCACAGTTGATTTTACAACTTGAGTCTGGTCTGACCTCCTGTTATCACATATGAGGATTAGCTGCTTTCCTTCTCCTTGCTTTGCAGGAGAAGTGGAAAAGAGCTCCTAGGACTACCACGCTGAATTTTTTTTTTTTTTTGAGATGAGGTCTTGCTCTGTCACCCAGGCTGGAGTGCAGTGGCAAGATCATGGTGCAGTGGTATGATCATGGCTCACTACAGCCTCAACCTCCTGGGCTCGAGTGATCCTCCTGCTTCAGCCTCCTGAGTAGCTGGGACTACAGGTGCGCATCACCATGCCCAGCTAATTTTTTTATTTTTTGTAGAGATGGGGTTTCGCCATGTTGCCCAGGGTAGTCTAGAACTCCTGAGCTCAAGTGATCTACTCAGCTTCTTCCCCTCAAAGTGCTGGGATTACAGGTGTGAGCCACCATGTCTGGCCTCACACTGAATTTTAACAGCACCTAGCACATAGTTAGTAGGCACTGAAAAAAACTTGTTGAATGTCATTCAATGAATGACACACATATCCAAATGCACAAAGCCATGCTGCATTCTGCAGTTTCTCATTGTAAGAATGTACTGGGCAGAATGGAAGAGAAATACATAATTTCCCAAAGTCTCATGCATTAAATTGTTTATTTGTATCTTGTTTTAGTATGTTCTTGGAAAACATTAAAACTGAACACACTAAAATATTTTGGGACTGGGTGCGGTGGCTCACGCCTGTAATCCCAACACTTTGGGAGGCCAAGGCAGGCAGATCACTTGAAGTCAGGAGTTTGAGACCAGCCTGGCCAAAATGGTGAAACTCTATCTCTACTAAAAATAAAATAAATTAGCTGGGCATGGTGGCATGTGCCTGTAATCCCAGCTACTGAGGAGGCTGAGGCAGGAGAATCGCTTGAACTCGGTAGGCAAAGGTTGCAGTGAGCCGAGATTGCGCCATTGCACTCCAGCCTGGGTGACAGAGCAAGACTCCGTCTCAAAAAAGAAAAAAAAAAAATATATATATGGAAGGAAAAATATATCCATATATATATATATATGGAAGGAGGGAGATTCTTGAAAGTTATTTGAATGACTTAGTAAAAAAAAATCTATAGTCAAAAGATTTTTTTCAAGTAATTTCTTAATCAGCAATAGAGAAAAGAATTTAGATGTAAAAAAGCAATCTTTCATAAACACTGACGAACAAACATGCCAGAAAATATATAGGAGATCTTCCCTGGAGTCAGGTAGGCTCAGAATTCAGACCTTTGCCTTGTAGAATTTCAAAGCCTGATGCCAAGCCAAAAAATGAAAGAAGGATGTATAAGTTATGAATACTCTGAAAAGACTCCCACCTCATTAATATGTCTCAAAACACATTGCTTAAGGGTAAAGTTAATTAAATCACAGTACACATAAATTTGAAAAGGACTGGTAATCAATCACAGACAAAATTATGTTATATTGAGACAAAATGAGAATAGTGGACATAAACAAAAATTAAGTGAAAACAGATTCACACAATGGAAGGAACTTTTCACCTGACTTAATGCTGACTCTCTATGCTATCCAGCTTTCAGGGATATTTGAGGCAAACTGAGTAAAGAATTAAATATTATTCTTCACTTGAGATCTTTTAAAGTAGTGAATCTCATTTTGGGAGGCTGAGGTGGGAGGATCACTTGAGGTCAGGAGTTTGAGATCAGCCTGGCCAACATGGCGAAACCCTGTTTTTACTAAAAATACAAAAATTAGCCAGGTGTGGTGGCATGTGCCTGTAATCCCAGCTACTCGGGAGAATGAGGTGGGAGGATTGCTCGAACCTCAGAGGTGGTGGTTGCAGTGAGCCGAGATCATGCCACTGTACTCCAGCCTGGGTGACACAGCGAGACTCCATCTCAAACAAAACAAAATAAAATAGTGAATCTTCCATTTAGCACTTGATAATTTCTTAAGCTGGCTATAAAACTCTTAAATTTACTGGCTGAATTATGCAGTTTTGTGGCTTTTTCGAAACCTTTATATGTGTTTTCTTGTTGTCTGTCCTTGGGCCTTTCACTTTCATTTCAACTATTTTGCAAGAAAAGAAAAGAAAGAAACTTGAACCAGCCATTCTTATTACTTGTTAACAGTTCTGACAAAATATACCCCAAGTTTTTGCTTGTTTTGTTTTGAATTAGCTGCAAGTTCCAAGTATTCATGCATTCTCACTAATATAGGAACAATCAACAGGAGGTGTGAAGTTACCTTCTGTAGCTGGAATAATTTCTATCCCTGAAAAGTTATTTCCCTGATAAATCTTCCTCCTATAACATAGAAACTTAGAATTGGAAGGGTCTTAGTAATAAGCTACTTCAAACCTTTACTGAGGCATCTTCCTAGCAACTACTACTAGGAGGAAGTGATGTATGGTGGAAAGAACAAAGGTTTGGGAGACAGACAGACCTAATTAATAACCCTGGTATGCCATCTAAAACTTTTGAATTTCAGTTTATTTATCTGTAAATGAGGCTAGCAAAAGGTATTCATGAGGCCCTTGGGCAGATTATGTAATATAACAGATGTACAAAGGCCAGCAGCACCATGCCATGGATAAACCGCAGGACTTGGAGTTGGAGCTGAACCCAGCAGGGTCCTGTCCCAGCTTTGTCTCTTCAAGGCTGTGTGTTTCTGGACAGGTCACTTATCTTCTCTAAGGCCCAGTTTTCCTATCTGTAAAATGGGAAAAAATACACCTAATTCTTGATACTATTTTTAAAGACTGAATGGGATAACGTATACTATGCTCAAATAATATGATCTATTATCATTAGGTCAATTCAGATTAAAAGCTAGGAGCTGGATAAACCCACTTCCAAGGTTCTCGGATTAACAATGTTATATACATAATAAAGGCAGCTATGTTTATAACTGATAATGTTAATTTACGAGAGGAAAATCAAGGTTACACATTCATAGTACAGGTTAAGTATCCTTTATCTGAAGTACTTGGGAGAAGAAGTGTTTTGGATTTTTGATTTTTTGAATTTTAGGATATTTGCATATATGTAATGAGATATCACGAACATGGAACCCAAGTCTCAACATGAAATTTAATTATGTTTCATATACAACTTATACACATAGCCTGAAAGTAATTTTCTACAATATTTTAAATAATTGTATGCATGAGACAAAGTTTTTAAATTTTGTTTGTTTGTTTTGTGTTTTTTAATAGAGATGTGGTCTCACTATGTTGCTCACACTGGCCTCAAATTCCTGGGCTTACGAGATTCTCCTGCCTCAGCCTCTGAAAGCACTAGGATTACAGGAGTGAGCCACTGCGCTCAGCTGAAACAAAGTTTTAACTGCAACCAGTCACTTGAGGTCAACCAGTTACTTGAGGTGTGGAATTTTCTATTTGTGGTGTCATGTTGGTGTGCTCAAAAAGTTTCAGATTTTGGAGCATTTCAGATTTTGGATTTTTGAATTAGGGATGCTCAACCTGTATATGCAGTAGAAAAAACCATCCTATATTTTAAAATTTCTCGAACATATTAACACATATATATTTATTATGTGCTTCGTAAGCATAAGTCAATATAGAAGACAAAAAGCGGGGAACCCAAAGAGGGTCATAGGGTACTCCTGAGAAGACACCCATCTAGAAGGGGGTTGAAGGCATCTATGCACACTGGAATAACTAACTTCACAAGTAGCAAATGCTAAATGGTAAATAAAGGGTGCAAAATAATAAACACTACAGGAGTTCCGAAGAGCAAAGCTAGGCTCACTTTCAGAAGGTACAGTCAAAAGAAGAGGAGGTGGGATTTGTGTTGAGTCTTTGAGGTGGGATTTGGAGAGGAGGTGAGTAGCATGGAGGTCATTATTTCAGATGGAGAGAATGTGCTATCCTGTCCATCCCTCACCTCCAATTGAAACTGATGACAAGGATGCAAATATGAGTCTCAGAAGATTCCATCACTTGGTTTAAGAAGAAGGGTGAGGCCGGGCGCGGTGGCTCATGCCTATAATCCCAGCACTCTGGGAGGCCGAGGCAGGTGGATCAGTTGAGGCCAGGAGTTTGAGACCAGCCTGGCCAACGTGGTGAAACCCTGTCTCTACTAAAAATACAAAAATTAGCTGTGTGATAGCTTGTGCCTATATTCCCAGCTATTTGGGAGGTTGAGGCAGGAGAATCGCTTGAACCTGGGAGGCAGAGGTTGCAGTGAGCTGAGATCGGGCCACTGCACTCCAGCTTGGGCAACAGAGTGAGACCCTGTCTCCAAAAAAAAAAAAAAAAAAAAAAAAACCTAGATAAAGATCACCTCTCTCCATAGAAAGCTAGGAAAAAAACCATTAGGGGCAATATTAATGAACAATTTGCTACCCGCCCAGCGTTCCTCATTTCCCAGATGTGTATGTTATCAAACTGCTGAAGCTTGGTTAGGGGTAAGAACACACATCAAACTGGCCATAGCTGAATCCACATCCTAAGGAATTCGCATGACTACAACATAAAAAGTTAAAGAAACAAGAAAACAAAGGTGGAAATACCTGTTGTTAAACTTATCTTGACATAGTTTCAGGAGTCATGTGCAGAGTTCTCAGGTTAGGGTTTACTATGACTCAAAGCCACATCTTTCCTTTAGGGTCCGGGATCATGGAACCCACCCCTACCTCTCACTGACATCTCCACCTCGATGACTCAAAGGCACCACACATTCCCTATCTCTAGAATGCACAAGCCTCCTCCCAACAATTGCCTAAACCCAAACCTACAAGTCCCCATAGACCCTTCCCTCTCTTCCCTAGCTTGTGTAATAGATGGCTCACTTATCTCTCCAGTCCGTTTCCACCTCCTCTAATCTATCCATACACCACACTGCTGCCACATAGAGTATCATCTACAGGATAAAATCTGAACTTCTTAGCAAAGCTCCAAAGGGCATCATTATCTGGCCCCAGCCTATCAGTCTGACTTGAGCTTCCAACATGCTTCCCTTGAAATTTGCATTCTGGCAACATCTAATTACCTAAGAGGTCCTTGAGCTTAACCTGCTTTGGGGGCCTCCCTGTCTTGCACACACTCTTCCCTCTTTACTATACTAACAACTTGGGAAACTTCCACTCATCCTTCTAGCCCAAGCTCAAGTAGCATCTCTGCTCTGATTCTTGTTTGACACCTTTGCACATGCTGAAATGCTCCACTGTCCATGTACCTCACAGTATTGCTATTGTTCACAAGGTCAGACTTTGCACCCACATTGCAAGCCCCTTGAAATCAGGGACAAAATATTTTTCTCCTTCTGTCCTCCAACCTGGCACACAGCAGCTCACCCAAACAAAAATCTGTTGAGTATAGTGGCACATGCCTGTGGTCCCAGCTACTCAGGAGGCCAAGGTGGGAGAATCGCTTGAGTCCAGGAGGTCGAGGCTGCAGTGAGCCATGATCGCGCCACTGCACTCCAGCCTGGGCAACAGAGCGAGACCTTATCTTAAAAGAAAGAAAGAAAAAATCTGTTGAGTAAATGACTGAACTTTAAAATGAGGAAAAGAAGAAGCAATATCATTTGGTTAAAACCAAGAAGTTTGAAGAAATTCACTGGAAACATTAGTTTATTTACTGGAAGAGAAAGGGTGACTTGCATAAGGGTATTCTCTATCAGTTTATCCTTTCTTTGAAACTGCCAACAAAATAGTCTCCCAAATGTCGTATTATAGGGCAAAGAAACACAGTGGCATTTGTGGAAAAGACATAACCCCTATAGTACTACCTGAATTTACAGAGTTTTTGAACTGTTTTCAACTGCTACTCAGATTTATCTAGAATATTTCCAATCCTCTTCCTACTACAAAACAACAAATCAACAGAAAACACCATAAAAACTTAGAACCAGCAAGTCAACAGAGATTTAGCAGTAACTTAGCTTTGAGAACGCTCGAAGTTACTTTCAAAGCCCATCTATAAAGGAGGAGACATTATAAAATTGTCAAGAGAGTTTCTCCTTTTTGGCATACCTTGACTAACAGGGTGACACACAGATTCCTGCCTGAAGTACTAGGGCTGAACTCTAAAATCCTCAACTTTTGAGTGTTTGGTTAATTGCAATCATTTACTTTCCTTGGGAATTAATAGAAACCATCTGCTTAATGATAAAGCTGAGCTCTGCAATTATTTGAGGAAAAATGTGCCACAGTCAGCACAAAAAAGCCTTATTGAGGAAGCCTGCTAGACTATGTATTTTTTTAATAATTAAAGCCAATTGCATTCATTAATTTTAAAATGCCATTGTGATCAGCTAACTCTTTTTAAAAATTTATCAGCACCACCCTTGTTAATATGCACCTATGCAACCTTCAATTTTAAACTTACGGTAGCTTAAATAACTATAATTGTACAGATGGTTGTGATCACACATCAGAATGTTGAGGTGATCATGAGAAAAAATAAAGATGGAGAAATAAATGTCTACTGTGAACCACATATCTGCCTTCTGGGTCTGATACCTGTGTGTAGCAGAGTTATTTTACTTCCTAGCAAACAGGAAGATTGTTGTAAGCACTCCAAACAAACTGACTTTGAACTGGTCATCAGTCAAAGCTCCCAGTAATACTAACTGCAGTTCTGCTAGCAGATGTGGAGGGTCCCAGAAAAACAG
This sequence comes from Homo sapiens, assembly GCF_000001405.40. Lineage (NCBI taxonomy): Eukaryota > Metazoa > Chordata > Mammalia > Primates > Hominidae > Homo > Homo sapiens. The sequence continues at coordinate 42,551,495 of NC_000012.12, forward strand.
GCAGCTTTTGTTACACAGCAGCCTGCAGAACAGGAAGAGCCAACAAAGTCCCCACTGAATGGCTGTAAATATTGATCCACCTGTAAAGAATAAGGGTGCCATCTCTGTATGATGGCAAATAAATAAAGAAGGAGGAGAGTGGAGGAAAGAGAAACACACACATTAGGGCCAATTGCTTGAAGCTGGTTTCTTCTCCCTGTGTGTGGCCCAAGGGAAGAGGAGACGTTTATTTGGACATCCTCTCTTCCAAAAGGTTGGCTGTCTGATTTTCAATGGGTCCAATGCTAGAGTCCAGTTAATTTCATAAGCAGACACCATATAGTTATGAAGCAACTTAATAAGGATTTTGAATTTTTAAAAGCCAGTTGGTGGGAAGCAGCTGATCCACACCACCTCAACCAAAAAACAAAAAGCCCCACTATATTTCTATGATGTTTAAAACTACTACAGTCCTTAACCTACAGTATGGCATGGAAGCTAAGAAGGTGGATTTTGTCAAGTATGACAAATACTGACTGAAATCTCCATTAGCCATTCACAACCTGTACACATTCAAGAAAGTTACTTTTTTTTTTTTTTTTTTTTTTTTGGAGACAGGCTCTCACTCTGTTGTCTAGGCTGGAGTGCAGTTATGCAACCTCGGCTCACTACAACCTCTGCCTCCTGGGCTCAAGTGAACCTCCCACCTCAGCCTCCCAAGTAGCTGGGACCACAGGTGCATGCCACCACGCCCGGCTAATTTTTATATTTTTTAGTAGAGACAGGGTTTTGCCATGTTGCCTAGGCTGGTCTTGAACTCCCGGGCTCAAGCAATCCTCCCACCTTGGCCTCCCAAAGTGCTGGGATTACAGGTGTGAGCTCCCGTGCCAGGCCAAGAAAGTTCCTTAATGTCACTCTACACTATTTCCTATTTCTGTAAAATGGAGGGAATATTAATAACAGGAAACTAAGTAAGACAATGTATGAAAAGCACTTAGTCCAGAGCCCCGAACAGAGCAAGTGCTCCACAAAGGTGGGTTCTATTTGCTTTTTTATTCTTATTGTCATTACAGCCAAAGTCAGAGAATTAGCAATAAAGTCTCAGGAATCACCAATGGGGGTCCCATCGTCAGAAGGAAGGCATCTCCTCTCTTCTTTCCAGAGGGACTTGAGGGAGGAAGTTAAGAGTTGGGCACAGAGCGCTGTGAGTAGTAGTAGCAAGCAGCACTTGTATTAGGAACGTATGTAAAGACCCTGTTTTAAATTGGAGTAAACACAATCACATTTCTGACAAATAGGGAAGTGGTCTCTTAGAATGGCCGTCCCCAATCTTTTTGGCACCAGGGACCCGTTTCATGGAAGACACGGAGGTGGAGTGGGAGTGGATGTTTTCATCAGGCAATAGATCCTCATAAGAAGCGCGCAATCTAGGGAGGTTAGATCCCTCTCCTGCGCGGTTCACAATAGAGTTTGAGCTCCTCTGAGAATCTAATGCTGCAGCTGATCTGACAGGAGGTGGAGCTCAGGCTGTATTGCTCGCTGGCCGGCGGCTCACCTCCTGCTGTGCGGCCCGGTTCCTAACAGGACAAGGACTGGTACTGGTCTTTGGCCTGGGGGTGGGGACCCCTGTCTTAGAATATGAATATTTATGTGTCATCCCCAGGTTCTTAAATTTTTTTTTTTTCTCGGCCGGGCTTGGTGGCTCACGCCTGTAATCCCAGCACTCTGGGAGACCGAGGCGGGCGGATCACCTGAGGTTAGGAGATAGAGACCATCCTGGCTAACACGGTGAAACCCTGTCTCTACTAAAAATACAAAAAATTAGCCGGGCGTGGTAGCGGGCACCTGTAGTCCCAGCTACTTGGGAGGCTGAGGCAGGAGAATGGCGTGAACCGGGGAGGCAGAGCTTGCAGTGAGCCGAGATCACGCCACTGCACTCCAGCCTGGGCAACAGAGCGAGACTCCGTCTCAAAAAAAAAAAAACTGTTTTTCTCCAAACAATAAGTCCATTGTGTTGTGTTACTGAAAGGCAAATTGGCTCTAGAATCAGGGGGTGGGTGGGGCGGGGGGGGTCTGAGTGTCCCTCCTATTCCATCATTGCCCAGGGTAACGTCACCTTGGGCAAGTTACTTAACCTCTCTAAGCTTCAGTTTCCTCATCTGTAAAATACAGATAATAGCAGGCACTCTGAATGTGATGGAGGGAGTGGTACTCTAGCAAGTTAAGACAATGGCTTGTAGGGTCGCACTGCTGGGGTTCAAGTCTGGTTCTGCTGCTTACACCAGGTGACCTGCAGCAAATCACTGAACATCTGCCTCAGTTCTCTCCTTTAAAAACTGGAGACAAATGCCGGGCGCAGGGGTTCACGCCTGTAATCCCAGCACTTTGGGAGGCTGAGACGGGCGGATCACCTGAGGTCAGAAGTTAGAGACCAGCCTGGCCAACACAGCGAAACCCCATCTCTACTAAAACATGTAAAAATTAGTGGGGCATGGTGGCTGGCGCCTGTAATCCCAGCTACTGGGGAGGCTGAGGCAGGAGAATTGCTTGAACCCGGGAGGCAGAGGTTGCAGTGGACTGAGATCCCACCATTGCACTCCAGCCTGGGCGACAAGAGTGAGACTCTGTCTCAAAACAAAACGAAACAAACAAACCAACAACAACAAAAAAACAAAACAGGAGACCAAAACACCCATCAAGCTGTGGTGACATTAAATAAGCTGATACTATACAGGGTCTTAAAACAATTCATTTTGTTTATTGTTGTGAAGATTAAAAGAAAGAACGCATGTAAGTCTTGATATGTTATGTGCTCATTACATAGTGTTCCTCATTCTTATTGTAAAGGAAATAGAAAATACAAATGACTAAAAAAAGGAAAAAGTAAAATAACCCATAATTTTACATTGAAAACTTAGAATTCAGCAAAGCCGTATACAAATGACCAAAATGGTAGTTGGAGAAAAATTCTATTTCCAAGAAAACTATGGCCATTGATTTCCCTCGTTATCTTTTTAAAAGGAGATGGAATAGACACTGATGTCTTCCAAAGGTGGGAGATGACTTTTGTATTTCCCTTTTAGACTCGTTTGCAGTTTACAAGTTACTCAAAGGGCGAACTGGAAACCTGTGAGGAAGAAAAGCATCACAAGAGGTGAGGCAAATTCTTGCTAGAAAAAAAGGAAGTTTCAAGTTTAAAAAAGGACTTTTAACCAAACCCAAGAGAATAAAGGAGTGAATTTGCTAATGCCAGCAAAGCCCAATTCTCTTCGTGGTGAAGGTTATAAAACACAGAACTTTCCCACTAAAACCGAGGCTCACGTTCTCTTCACCAACTCTTTCCCTAAGGTACTGGGCAACAAGATGAAAATTCCTCTAGTTTAAATAAAACAAAATGGACTAGAACTTATTTTTTTTTTTTTTCTTACACGAGTACCTCACTAGGTAGTGCAATATGGACACTTAGATGGGATGGTTCATTTAAGTGTTGCTTTGGGTGGGTAGCTATCAAAATTCTTCAAACTCCTTTAAAATACATAAATTCTCAGGCCGGGCGCAGTGGCTCATCCCTGTAATCCTAGCGCTTTGGGAGGCCGAGGAGGGTGGATCACCTGAGGTCAGGAGCTCGAGACCAGACTGGGCAACATGGTGAAACCCTGTCTCCACTAAAAATACAAAAAATTAGCCAGGTATGGTGGTGCACGCCTGTAATCCCAGTTACTTGGGAGGCTGAGACAGGAGAATCACTTGATCCTGGGAGGCAGAGGTTGTAGTGAGTCGAGATCACGCCATTGCACTCCAGTCTGGGTGACAAGAGCGAAACTCCATCTCAAAAACAAAACAAAGCAAAAAGCAGTAATTTCTGTTAGACTACAGAGGAAAATGGAATAGACTTGGCCCAACTATTTTGGGGTTAAATAGTATTATTGTGGTTATAGATGCGAAAAACAATAATCTTTATGTAAGAGTATAAAATCAGTTTAGCAATGTTTCTTTTCATTGCTTTTCTTATTCCCACCTTTAAAATTTAAAACCTTTCACAACATATATTTACCTGAGTATTACATACCCATAATTAGCTTTTTCTTATAAGGGAACACAAAGATCATTATTTCAATGTTTTGTTGAGTTTCAAATGACACAGAGCTCAGAGTTGAAAATGTTCTCATTATGGCTTTTTATAGCTTAACACAAAATTTTGAGATAGAACAAATGGGTATTTGTAAGGTATAATACATTCTAAATATTTTAACAATTAATAAAGGTAACAGTAAAAAATAGCTGTTAAAAAAGCATCCCCCTAGAATCCTTCTAGAATGGCCATTATTTCTGCATAGCATTTTCTTTATATACCACTTGGTTGTTCAGCATTAGCAATAACCTCACTCCTAACCCAAGTGCATATAAACCTTCTATTATTCTAAGGGCCCAGAGAGTAAAAAGAATTATGCCTTTCACTATTTAATCACCAAATTTGATTTTCTTTACAAGTAGCCTGAGGTTAGGTCTGTAACATTATGTATCTCTTAATTCCACTTTGAAGGTAAGCAAACATTTACCACCTCACTCAGTTGCTAAATACAATCCATATTATTTTCTGTAATTCAGGCATAAAGTCCTATTGATTATGTGCAAGTGGCCACTTACTAGGTTGCCTTAAGCAATTGATTGTTGAATTTGCTGAATGAGCGTCTCTGGCCTTGAGAGAAGCAAAAAGCTACAGACTTCATTACAACCCTCTCCCTGCATAAAGGGTTTCAATGTTTCCCAGGCCCAAGGATGACGCCTCAAATGTTTGTGAGGCCAGCAAGACCCTGGAAGACCTGGCTCCTCCCCTTTGCCCCATTCCATCACAAGACATGATCATCTTTGTTCTTTCTAATAACAACCACCACCATGACCATCACCACAATAATATCTATACATGGCCTAAGTATTTTATACAATTCATTTAATCATAGAATCCCACCCTGTAAGGGAGGGATTATTATCCTCACTTTATAGAGGAGCTTCACTGATTTGCTGGAGATCATGCAGCTACTATCTAAGCGTCATGGCCAGGGGTCAAACACAGGCTCTTGAGCTCCAGGCCTGTGCTCTTGGATCTAGATCCTTATTCAGAAATAGGATCCAGTACGAAGTAGGGACCTTAATGAATCTTTATTAAGTGACTGAACAAATGAGTTTTATAATTAGTCAAGAAGTTTATATAGTCAAGTTTATAATTAGTCAAGAAGTTTACATAGCCAATACCCAACTTCTTGACTTTCCAATATATGTACATGCCTGATGGGGTGCAAAGAAGGATTAAAATGGATAATGCAAAGATATGGGTTTTGCAAAATTGAATGTTCTTCACCAGTAGTTTTTATGCTTTGCTCAACAATTATTTCTGAGCACCTACAATGTGCCAGGCACCCAGACTAGAATAAGACACTGCCCTGCCTTCAGAGTTTATGGCTTAGTTTAGGACAAAGACCAAGGAATGAACCTTTATTTTGTTAAAACAAAATTTCTGTTTTTTTTTTTTTAAAGAGGCAGGTTCTTACCATCTTGCCCTGGTCTAGCACTCCTGGGCTCAAGTGATCCTCCTACCGCAGCCTCTCAAGTGGCTGGGACTACCACCTTGCCTGGCTCAAGGCCTTTACTTTCTACCAGAGTGGTGACTGGTACATGGAGTGACTGGTACATTGAGTGCTACTCAATGACAGGAAGATATGCACCTAGCTAAAATAATGGTTGAAGGCTTTTAAAATAAAGTCAGTTTATTCAATACATAGGCATTATCCTTTAAGCTTTTGTGGACTGGCTTGGGGACAGTGCCTGGACGGAGAAGCAACTCACTTAAGTGTCTGTTAAATAGATGAAAGAAGGGCCAAATGAAGGAAGCAAGCTAACCCTATCTGGTTACATCGTTTGGGAAAACGCATTTCACATTCTAAATAACTTGCCAGCTCAAGTAGCTCAATTTGTGTACAAGAGCAGCAGATAATCTCTAGTTTGCATCGTCCCTCCCCAACATATGCTTCCCTGAAAATTTGGGGTGGGGGGAATCAGTAATCAAAGTAACAAACAGAACTCCTCTCTTCCTTTCTGAAAATGCTCTATTTTTAAAAGATGTCCATGTTTGTTCATTTAAAAGTTGCTTTAGGAGTTAGAAAAGGCCTGGATCTATCCCTATGTTATCCATCATGCACAATGCATGGAAGACTTGAGTGATTACAATTCTGAGGTTTCTGTGGGAGTCATCTTGTTTTTATAAAACTGGCAAATCAAATTTTAGGTTTCATGACTGTTTTATGTAACCATGCAGAGTTTTTCTCTCTCTCTGTGTAAAAGGCTCCTCAAACACACACTAAGCTACTCATTCCAGAATCATCACAATCTTTTCAATCAAAAAGTGAACAGCTTTGACATTTTAAAATAAGAGACTGTTGCTTTCAGAATTTGATTAGACTATTCTAATAGCAGGCTAGAGTCATTAAAATTGGCTTTTAGAGAGACACTTCACGTGCTTAGTAATTGGCACATCGGAGTGATGACAGCCTCCAAATCAGGCTTCCGAGTAAGTCAGTCTTTATCTAGTTGTCTTTAAAACTGGATAAAGGCATGTCTACACAAAAGCCACCTACTAGAAATGTGTTTCAATATTGTTTAACCACTCATACTATGTACCTTTATAACAAGCTGGTGCTATTTTACATAAATAAAATGTAATACTTACACCTTAGATCAATGTATACATATTCTCATATAAGAAATATAAAAGATTTTCTGTGAAATATTCGTGCTACCGTAATTCAAAAGTAACACACAAAATGAATTTAATAAACCTCCTCTTTGTCCATTATTACCATGAAGGGTGTAAAAGGGAGGCAACAACCAATCATTTGTTAATGGTTTGGTAGAGAAATGCCAGGTTAATTAAAACAACAACAAAAAAGGCACAATGTTTCCTAAGATTTACTACCATTTTATGGAAGGGCAAACTTTCTTTAAAATTCCAGATGTGAAACTGCCTTAGGAAAATTCCGATGCTGTTGTGGAAAATGCAGTGAAGGTCTCCAACAGGACCCTGCTTGCCTGGGTCCCCCAGCTGGCTTTACCATGGGCCAGTGGATGCCAGCCGTGAGTGAACACCGGACCACAAGCTCGCTGTCTTTGAGCTACTAAACTACAAAGCAACACTTTCTTTTAAAAGTCTTCTAGAGAAAGTAATAAAGTGCTATTTCTTGGCTTTAATGACCTTATTTTCTTTTAAAGAACTTTGTTTTTCTGCAGAGGAGCTAGAGCTGAAAAGCATGGTTGATATTGTATAAAACTCAGCAAATGAGCACTACAATGAGAAAGTAAATGACACTGTTCAAAGAGCAAGTATATGGAATTAGTTAATTTTTCTTAGTCAATCAAATAGCAAACAGGCAGAGATTAAAAAAAGAACAGCTAATATTTAACCAGGTGAACCAAATCGCATGATTGTATAAATTTTTCATTTGCAACAAGTCCTAGCTTTCAGGCTGCAATATACAGTGTAGATTTCTGTAGAAAATTAGGAAGTTGGATTACTAAGGAGTTCGAAAAAGGAGCCCTTCTACTTCTAAAAAGAAAATCAAAGGACAATGAGCTCAGGCCTCTTGTGAAGGGCTAGACATGCATCAGAATTCCTACAAAGAAATCACTTTTTCTTCCTTGTCCCTACTATCATATCTCATTTCAAACTGTTTCCTGGTGGCTTTTAGAAAACATTAACCTATATAAGCCATTTGAACTGTCAGAGACCTTAAATTCAGAAGAGCTATTTTGATGTCAAGATGCTTAACTGCACCTTCCTAATTAACATGTACCAAAGTAAAGCCCACTCAAGACTTGCCATGCTAACAGAAATATCCTAGTTTCTCTTTTTAAGTTTTTAAAAAACTTTCTCAGAGACAGGGTCTTGCTCTGTTGCCCAGGCTGGAGTGCAGTGGTGCGATCATAGATCACTATAGCATCAGACTTTTGGGCTCAAGCGATCCTCCCACCTCAGCCTCTCAAGTACCTGTTACTACAGGCACGTGCCACCATGCCCAGCAAATTTTTAAAAAACACAAATGTATATATATATGTGTGTGTTTATGTGTGTGTGTGTGTGTGTATATATATATATATATATTTTTTTTTTTTGGGGGGGGTAGAGATGGGGGCCTCATTATATTGCCCAGCCTGATCTGGAACTCCTGGGCTCAAGCAAACCTCTTGCCTTGTCTTCCCAAAGCATTGGGATTACAGGTGTGAGCCACTGCACCTGGTCTGGTCTCTCTTAAATACAGGCAACTGACCTACCCCTTGGCTCTGGTATTGATGCTCCCTGATTTGATTGATTAAACATGTCTTTATCAAGTTCTCACAATGGGGGAACTTACATTCCAGGTGTGAAGTTTGGAGCCTGTGCTGAAGGGTTTTTTATATGATACACAAATTATAGGCAAATGAAACAATCCTATCATGTTCCCTAAACATTATTTCACAAAATTAATGTGCTAACCAATAGCTCTCTGTACACTGGAAGGAAAAGAACAGGAACCAGCTCTTCAAACTTAAGGTAAAGTATTAAAATTTAGATATCACAGATAATTGGGAAATCTCCTTTAATTATTATTATTATTATTATTATTATTATTATTATTATTATTATTATTTTTGAGGCAGAGTCTCGCTCTGTCGCCCAGGCTGGAGTGCAGTGGTGAGATCTTGGCTCACTGCAACCTCCATCTCTCAGGTTCAAGCAATTTCTCCTGTCTCAGCCTCCTGAGTAGCTGAGATTTGAAGTCCCACCATGCCTGGCTAATTTTTGTATTTTTAGTAGAGATGGAGTTTCACCATATTGTTCAGGCTGGTCTCGAACTCCTGACCTCAGGTGATCCACCCGCCTCGGCTTCCCAAAGTGCTGGGATTACAGGTGTGAGCCACCACACCCAGCCTCCTTTAATTATTTGGGTATTTACATTATCTGACATGAGTATTCAAACTTATACCATTTCTATTATCTGGGACTATTTGTTAGACAGGGTGGAAACAGAAAGAGAATATGTGACCCAGTTTTCCATTAAAAGCTAGCATTTATTATTTCTATATTTTATTCTGGACTAGGCAGGTATTTACTTTTGTGCTTTGCCATGGCTGAAACCAGTATCCCCAACCCTATCTCACATATGGCTCTTACTATTCACAACTAAGGTTAGACAAGGGTGGATGTGCATCTAATTCTAGAAAAAAAATCATCCCTTAAGCTTGGCAGGTCAAAAGCCCATCTTCTCACACACACACACACACACACACACACACACACACACACACACACACACAAAACAAAAAACACATGCTCTATTGGGAATTCTTATAATGTAATCATGCTGTTAACTTTGGTTAATAACATAAAAATTATTAATAGAGTCCTATCCTCAAAAAGAACAAAAATGTCTTACAGGATTTGTGATGCCTGAAATGCTATAAATCTCTGAGGACAGGTTATATCCTTCCCTCTTCCTTGAGGCATTTGTCACAATTCCAGACAAGATTAAAAAGAGATAAGCCTCAGAAACTTTTGAAGATATTAGAAAAATCATGTTAGGGAAGTGACTTAGAGGTTAGACTTCAACAAACCAACACCCTTCAAATGTCTACCACTAATAATAAACTGTCATCTGCTACAGCAAGATGGTGGAGACTGAGCCAACAAGGGACTTATATTTAGTAATAACCTTTATTCTCTTTTCCCTTTGTTGTGTGTGTTGCAAGCGAAAGATCTATTTTTAAAAATAACACAATAGAAAAGTAGCAAGTAGACAATGGCATTTTTCACTAATAGACCTTTCTAACCACTCCACATCACTTTTCTGACCTTCTTTCTTCTACCAAACTTTCTGATTACTCCACCCAAGTTTTTCTCTTAAATACTATTTTTTCTACTCCATTCAACTTGTAAGTTTTGTAACAGTTATAGAATTGCTTACTGATGGCATTTATCTTCTATGAATATGTGTTTTCAAATGTGTTATTTACTGTAGAAAGGTTTATTCTGTCCAAGAATGTATAAACTAATTCTGTTCAAATTTAAAGATTAGATTTTTTAAGGCTCAAAATAGTTTTTAATTACAGGTTAATATGTCTGTTACAAATCCTCACCAGAGACTTTTTCAGAGTAGACAATGAAATGTATTTTATTTTCCATTTTAGATGTCAATTTTTAATGAAAATGACTCAATGCTTACACACAGTAACCATGAAATATTTGTGTACAGTTAACTATGAAAAGTCATGTCTAAGGCTGGCAAGGCATATTCCCAATTAAAAATCACACTGACAATTTGCCAGTCATTGAGCTCCCATCTTACGGCTACTCCAAAGAAAATAAGCGAAAATATGATGTTCCACTAATTTTCTTTTTCTTTTCTTTTTTTTTTTTTTTTTTTTTTTCCAGACAGAGTTTTGCTCTGTTGCCCAGGCTGGAGTGCAGTGGCACGATCTCGGCTCACTGAAATCTCCGCCTCCTGGGTTCAGGCTATTCTCCTGTCTCAGCTCCCCGAGTAGCTGGGATTAGAGGCACGTGCCACTGCACCCAGGTAAGTTTTGTATTTTTAGTAGAGATAGGGTTTCCATGTTGGCCAGGCTGGTCTCAAACTCCTGACTTCAGGTGATCCGCTCGCCTTGGTCTCCCAAAGTGCTGGGATTACAGGTGTAAGCCACTGTGCCTGGCTCCCACCCATTTTCAAATCAGTCAAAAGGCAAAGATATCTTATTGTTTGTGCAGTAGAAAATTAAAGTATATATGCTAACATGGTAATAGTACAAAAGGAATGATTAGGACAGGGAAGGAAACCTGACTAGAGATTGTGAAAAAGATAATGAAACTCAATTCGAGGATGTAAAAATATTAATAAACATTTTTAAAAAGGCAGAGTTAAAATATATTATTTACATATTAGAACTAAAGGAAGGTAAGAAAAGTTGCAGATGTATTGAAAGCAGCTGATAAAGTACTACTGAAAATACCAAAACACAGCATCTCTGGAAGAGACCTTAAAAATAAGAAAAAATTAAAACTAAAAATGGAAGAAATGAGAAATGATTAACTGTAAGAAAAAAACTGAAGATGTGAAGATTCAATAATAAGTAGACAAGGAAGAACCAAAGCAAGGCAAAAGACCTGCAGACAGATGCACAAAGAAAATTTAAACATCAACTATGTATTGTGAGGAAGAGATGTGAATATTATCTGAAGAGTGGCTTCAATATCCTAAATCACAGAAGGAAAAGAAAAAAATTGTATAACAGTGGAAGAAACTGTACTGCTAAGACAGTTTATTACTGCCCAGAAACACTGGGCAGTAATAAAGACATAGCTTACATTCAAGTTTTGGCAGATTTAATTTAAAAATTTAAATTGTGATCAGGGGGCCGGGTGCGGTGGCTCACACCTGTAATCTCAGCACTTTGGGAGGCCGAGGCGGGCCTGAGGTCAGGAGTTCGAGACCAGCCTGGCCCACATGGTGAAACCCTGTCTCTACTAAAAATACAAAAATTAGCTGGGTGTGGTGGCGGGTGCCTGTAATCTCAGCTACACAGGAGGCTGAGGCAGGAGAATTGCTAGAGTCCGGGAGACGGAGGTTGCAGTGAACCGAGATCATGCCAATGTACTCCAGCCTGCCCAACAGAGCAAGACTCTGTCTCAAAAAAAAAAAATTTTTTTTGAACAGGACAATTTTATGGTTCTGGATAAAGAGCTAACTGACTGCCACAAACAAAAACTTGCCTGTGGCAAGCAAAATTCCAGCAGGACGAGAAAGAAGAATATTAATTTATTTTTTCTCAAACTACATACATACTGGAGTATTTTTTAAATGTTTAATTATCATGGGTATATGAATGTTGCACAATATTGGAGTTTTTAAAAAAAAAATCTTTTGGCCGGGCGTGGTGGGTCATGCCTGTAATCACAGCACTTTGAGAGGCCGAGGCGGGCAGACCACGAGATCAGGAGATCGAGACCATCCTGGCTAACACAGTGAAACCCCGTCTCTACTAAAAAAAAATACAAAAAATTAGCCAGGCGTGGTGATGGGCACCTGTAGTCCCAGCTACTCAGGAGGCTGAGGCAGGAGAATGGTGTGAACCTGGGAGGCGGAGCTTGCAGTGAGCCGAGATCGTGCCACTGCACTCCAGCCTGGGTGACAGAGCAAGACTCTGTCTCAAAAAAAAAAAAAAAAAAAAAAAAAGAATCTTTTTTGGTGGCATGTATCTGCAAGACAAAGAAAAATCCTGATCAATTGTTTAATATTTAAATAGAGTACAGACAGGGAGAGTATACGATTTGTCATGCAAAACAGGACATTTTTCGAGTACAATGGGTACAGTTAATGATTATGTTGGGATAATGGGCACAAACCAGAATGTAATTTCTAAAGTGAAATATCATCAAAAAAACTTATGCCATCCTTCTCCCACTATGAAAAATGTCTCTTTCCAGCCAAGTGCAGTGGTTCACGCTTGTAACCCCAGCACTTTGGGAGGCCGAGGTGGGCAGATCACAAGGTCAAGAGATTGAGAACATCCTGGCCAACATGGTGAAACCCCGTCTCTACTAAAAGTACAAAAAAATTAGCTGGTGTGGTGGTGTGCACCTGTAGTCCCAGCTACTTGGGAGGCTGAGGCAGGAGAATCGTGAACCCGGGAGGTGGAGGTTGCAGTGAGCCAAGATCACGCCACTGCACTCCAGCTTGGCAACAGAGGGAGACTCTGTCTAAAAAAAAAAAAAAAAAAAGAAAAGAAAAAAGAAAAAGGTCTCTTTCCAAAACACTATTGAAATCTTTCTTGGCCGGGCGTGGTGGCTCACGCCTGTAATACCAGCACTTTGGGAGGCTGAGGCAGGCGGATCACCTGAGGTCACGAGTTCGAGATCAGCCAACTCAACATGGTGAAACTCTGTCTCTACTAAAAATACAAAAAATTGGTCAGGCGTGGTGGCGGGCACCTGTAATCCCAGCTACTCAGGAGGCTGAGGCAGGAGAATCGCTTGAACCCGGAAGGCAGAGGTTGCGGTGAGCTGAGATGGTGCCACTGCACTTCAGCCTGGGCGACAAGAGTGAAACTCTTCAAAAAAAGAAAAAAAAGAAAAGAAATCTTTCTTGAGGTCATATTTTAAATTCTAGGAATACCAACATTTCTCAAATTTCACTGAGGTATTTGACTAAATATCTTTGGAAGACTTAGTTCTAAAAGAATGTAGTTATTATTATTTTTTGGGGTCAATCTCAGAATTATTTGGATTCCTAAGTCCTAGTAGAATGTAAACAAAAGCAAAAGGATATGCTTACTGTGGTGTATCCAGATGTAGAGCTCAACACCACCGGTAATAAAGAACAGTAACTCAATTATTGCAAAAGGGATTAACTTGCATTTAATTTGCATTTATTTAAATACGTCAGGGCAGGAACACTAGTATTAGCAAACTGAAAGTAAACAAAGATTCCTAAAAAGAGTTAACATAGATATCACATGTTTAAAAACATTATTCCTAAGTATCTGAGTCTGTGTAATCAAGGACAATTAACAAATATTAGTAGCTTAATTGTGTTCCCAGATTCACAGAAATCTAAGTTGCCTGTGGAAATTCCCAGAGTTCTGGGAGCAGCAGCTCTCCCAGTACTGGGGGAACCCCGGCCAGCACAGCACATCTGGGGTAGAGCCTGAGAAGAGGAGAGGGGAAGTGGGGCGGCCATCAGCTCTGGAAGTTTTAAAACAGGGGTTCCTCAAAGTCTAGTCAGCCCAGGTGAGTTGGATGGATGGGTGACAGCAGTGGCTGGAAGGAAGGAAGGATCTGGGGTCCCATTAAGAACCAAGAAACTTAAGAAAGTACTTCTCTCAAGAGAGATGTGTTTTGGGGAAAAGGAGAACAGAATAGGGGATGTGGGATGCAACTGTCCTATCCCAATCCCCTGCCCCAAATTGGTACTTTTTCAAAGGTGGTAAAGGCTATGATGAACTAGCACTAAATAAAGCAGCATGAAATCAACAATGGGATCCTTAAAAGGCACAGGGACAGGGAAAAGGTAAATAAAAAGGGAACTGTTTCTATGGGTTCACTCCCCACAACAACCAAAGCAGTCATACAGAGCTTGGCCAATCCTGCGGGTTTATTCATTTGTTATGTGTACTTGATTAGATCTGCTTTTTATTTTTGCTAATTGCTTTTCATGCACATCCAGTTTCCCTACCTTCTTTTTCTCTTTTTAAACCAGCCCCGACCTCAGTCAGGATCCCAGAGGCTGGTGAGACAGGAGAGTGCTGAGGACAGACTGGGCTAAGGGACTGAAGGAAGAGCCACACTGCCCTCTGGGAGCTGCGAGGGCTTTGTTTCAAGTCTCCTGCTTTGAAGTCTGATTTGGTGAGTACTATATTCTCCTAAAATGAGCCAGAACAAGGAACCGGGGATCAGAGGAGGGACAGGAAACATGTGATTGTACCCTGCAAGATATGTGGGACAATGGAAGCCAGTCTGTGTGGCGAGATGGTCAAAGGCCAGGGAGAGACTGGCAGGAGGTTTGTGAAGGAGTGCAGAGCGGGCTGTGGAGGGCTCTTAGTAGAAGCACATTTGGATCAAAGGTGTGGTATCATGAGATCCTCATTTTGGACGGATCACTCTGCTTTGTGGAAGAGGCCAGAAGCCTGGATTTAGGTGGGTTATTGAATGGGACGAAAGAATGGAGGGAAGGGGGAAGCTGGTTCCAGAAATGTCCAGGAGGCAAATTAGATGGGACCTGTGGTTGAATGAATGTGAAAATGAGAACAGGAGTTAAGGATAACATCCAGTTTTCTAGGTTGAATAACTCGGTGGTTGCTGAAGCTACTAACCTAGAAGGATACACACGGTGGAGAGGGTTTGAGGATGGATGATGGCAAACAGAAATTGGAGGGGGAAGTGGCTGTGAGACAGAGAGTACTCCAAATGTGGGCCTCAAGCAAGCTGGTAGAGTGGACCAGACCTGCGTAAGAACATCTGCATTCTCTGCTGGCTGCTAATGTTCAATAACTGTGTGACCACAGGGATTCTCTCAACCATTTGGAACCTGTTTCTTCATTTATAAAATGAGACAATTGACCTACAGGTTTGTTATTAGGATTAAATGAGAATGTGTGTAAAATCATTCTTAAACTCTGAATCTTTAATTAAATTTCTCTCTTTCTCTCTCCCTTCCACCCTCCTTCCATTCATCAAACATTTTGTGCTATTTCAAGCCAGGCACCAGAGATAAAGAAGTGGACAGTGACTCTCACTGGGGTTAATACAGTCATCAGGGTCTGGTGTCCTAAACTTGGCTTTTCAATTGAGAAACATTTAATCTGCTCATCAAAGAAAAAGTTTTTGAGCCACTATCATATGCTTGGTTCTAAAATAGAAACTCTTAATACTGCAGTTGTTTTCCTCAAGGACCTCAAAGTTCAGGGTGCAGAAAATAAAACATATGAGGGGCAAAGAGATGATTATTTAATATTACTATTTTAAATAATTATTCACAATGGAACTAAACTGGGCTCATGGGGGATCAACATACCTTAACAAAATGTCCAGCAGATTGAGCCATTGTACCCTTGTCTAAAGCTCCTTACGCCAAGTATACAGAGGTTTTCAATCCGGATGGTCTATTGATGGATCAAAGCTCCTCGATGGATACCATCTATTATTGAACAAATATTTACTGAATACATATTCTGTGCCAGGTATTCTATTAAGAGCAGGATACTCTTTTCAATGATCTCTAATATTCCCCAAAAGTCTACACTGACTCTTTATGAATGAACTGTACTTTGTGAACTTGTTTTATGAAGACTACTACAGTACAGTCTGCTATAGAAATTTTCAGTCTTGCCAGATTATTTCTGGAGTATTTCTCAAATGGAAGTAAACTTTTGGTGTGTTGTTATTAATTTCTAAAAATACTTCAATTTTTTCCCCAAATGACATTCTTCTCTATCTGTAGTATAGGAGCAAAGATATCAATGTCCAAGAGAGAAGATAAGAAGTATAAGCATTATTGGCCAGGTGCGGTGGCTCACGCCAGTAATCCCAACACTCTGGGAGGCTGAGGCAGATGGATCACCTGAGTTCAGGAGTTCAAGACCAGCCTGGCCAACATGGTGAAACCCCGTCTCTACTAAAAATACAAAATTAACTGGGCGCGGTGGTGGTTGTCTGTAATCCTAGCTACTCGAGAGGCTGAGGCAGGAGAATAGCTTGAACCCGGGAGGCAGAGGTTGCAGTGAGCCAAGATCGTGCCACTTCATCTCAAAAAAAAAAAAAAAAAAAGAGGTATAAGCGTTATCTTCTTTAGGTGGGGATACACATTCCACATTCCTCTCTAAACACATGTACATACACACAGATGAAGAATAGCTCATAGGGAAAAATAACCCTTGAAAACCTTCATCTCCTTCACAATCCAATATTTGTAATTCTCAATAATGTATGATTTGCACATCTTTGGTGTTTCATAAATGTTCATTGTGAATGGAATCTGGTCCAGTAAGTACCTACCTGGATATGAAACTAAAGAAAGTAAATTAACATATAAATCATCCTTGAGATCTGCCTAGAATTTGCTAATATATATAGCCTCATTTTCACTATGCTTTGAAAAATAGGGAACACTTTTTGCATTATTTTATTTTACATATGTATTTTTTGAGATGGGGTCTGGCTCTATTGCCCAGGCTGGAGCACAGTGGCCTGATCTCAGCTCACTGCAGCCTCTGCCTTTCAGGCTTAAGTCATCCTCCCACCTCAGCCTCCCAAGTAGCTGGGACCACAGGTGCATGCCACCACACCTGGCTAATTTTTGTATTTTCTTGTAGAGACTGGGTTTTACCATGTTGCCTAGGCTAGTCTCAAACTCCTGAGCTCAAGTGACCCTCCCACTTGGCTTCCCAAAGTATTGGGAGTATGGGCGTGAGCCACCATGCCCAGCCCGCATTATTTTAAATAACAAAAATCTCATGGTGTAAATACTAACTGAGCAACATGAGAAAGCACATAGGGTAAGGTGGCAAATACGCTTGATGAATAAAATGAAATGACTGTAAGCAGTATTTTCAAAAAGTTCATCTCAGATCAGCAAGGCAATTTTATTCTATTATGTACATCTTAAAAACTATCATAATTCAGAAGAAATATATCTTTTAATTGAATTTGTTTTTATAGATTTAGGGGGTACAGGTGCAGATTTCTTACAGGCATATATTGCATGATGGCGAAGTCTAGTCTTTTAGTGTAGCCATCACCTGAACAGTGAACATTGTACTCAATAGGTAATTTCTCATTCTTCAACCCTCTTCTACCCTCCCATCTTTTGTAGTCCCTGGTGTCTACTGAAATATGTTTTTTGATAGAAAAATGATAAGCAGAAACAAAAAAAAATCCATAATCCATAGTCCCATCTCTCAGAGAGCAACACTGACATACCAATACACAGTGAAGGCATACTATTTTCCATAAAAGAATGATCACACCATACATACTAGTCTATAATCTGCCTTTTCCACTTAAATATGTCCTGAATATCCTTTCATACTACTTTATCTCTACATCTTTATTTTTTGACAGCTGCATAATTTTTCACTTAATGGATATACCATCATTTTTCCCTAGCTGTTACATCCTGAAACAAGCTCTCTGATGGCATCTTAAAATGTAAAGTTAAAACAGGTATTAAAATAACTCAGTAATTAATTTAGCAATGGACCTTTAAAGTATATATGGAATCATTTTACATTTAAAAACAAAATTCGATAATGTGACATTAAAGTACATAATGCCCGTAGAGTTGCAATTTTTATGATGCAGAGCTCAAGCCTAAATTCATTCAGAACAGACATGACTGCTTTTAAGTAATGCATTTCTTTTAAGAGGAAATGTCATTTCAAGTTTGTTGAAGACTGCCATCTAGTGCCTCCTTTCTTCCTGTTGGATGTGGGAAGATTTCTGTGAGCAAGTCGGTTTAAGCATATTCTATATTTAACTATCTGGACTCATTAACTCAGGTTTTTATATACCAGTAATCTTTTTCAGCTTGTATGTCATTCTTATGGTGCCAGCTGTGGCGATAAGGAAATCGATTGTACTGTTTCAGCTGTCTTAGAGAAAAAGTGAGGCACAGACTTAAAGAAGTAGTCATTTATCTTCCTTTGCTGACCTATGCAATTAAACATGACCCTCAAAACAAGACCAATTAACTCCTTTGTGGTGACATAATCTCTGGAACAGATGCATCAATAATGGCAACATATCACTTCACCAGTCTTCATGTTTAAGATGAGCATTGTGGCATTGGGAAATTCTGCTCGGGATGGTAAAGCTGAAAGATTGTGTCATCAGCTAAACAGCACAGACTCTGAAATGAAAGATCTGCAGAGGACACCTGCTATTGACTAGATAGTCACTAAGTGACCCCCGGCACTTCTTTGTGAATCAATTCGAAATCAATGTCCCAGCGTGATGTTAGGTGGCACTGTGCTAATGGACAAGTAAACTTTCAAGAAAAGCAAGGCAAAGCCTTATAGGCTCATTAGCCAATCTGAATTGGAATAGTGCATGACACCTGAGCGGTTATGACCGCCTACCTGAATTACCCTAGATGTTTCAATTAGATATAGCTCCCTTCCTTGAGTCAAAAATTATTTAAGTTTCACTGTGCACTGTTAAACAATTGTCATACTCCATGCTTAAGTAACTACCTTCCAAATGGAGTATGAAGTAATTTTGTGATAAAATTCACAGGAGTCCTGAAGTATGAAAGCAGCTGAACTGGTTTTAGATAAAATTCCATCTGGCAGCTCAACTGATCAAGGCATTTGTTTGATTTCAACAGCTCACAGAATTATGATTAGGCAATTTTGAATGGCACCCATATTTCTCTTTCTAGAAAACACCTAGTTTATTCATAAGTAAAAAAAATCCTTTAGGAAAGTTCTTTCATATCCACTTCAGTGGATTTCCAAATTCAAATGTGCCTCTTAAAAGTAAAAATTCCTGGGCTGGGCACAGTGGGCTCATGCCTGTAATCCCAGCACTTTGGGAGGCCGAAGCGGGTGGATCACCAGACGTCGGGAGTTCGAGACCAGCCTGGCCAACATGATGAAATCCTGTCTCTACTAAAAATACAAAAATTAGCCAGGCATGGTAGTGGGTGCCTGTAATCCCAGCTACTTGGGAGGCTGAGGCAGGAGAATCACTTGAACCCGGGAGGCGGAGGTTGCAGTGAGCCGAGATTGTACCACTGCACTCCAGCCTGGGCAGCAGAGCAAAACTCTGTCTCTAAATAAATAAATACATAAAAATTCTGTATTCAGTAAGTTCTTGAAAATTATTAAATTATTATATAACCTTTAAAATATCCAATCAAAATAAAGAATAGAATATTTAGCCTTATTTTAAAGTAACTATATTGTATATCTGCTAGATTATTTTTACAAGCATTTACATATTAATGTCAACAATAACTCAGTTTAATTTACTATGCAATAGTTTGTGTGAATTTAACTTTGACCCAAAGGTTGTCTTAACACATACAAAACGTTTAGTTTTCTAGGCTTTATTACACAAATCCCCTCAAATTGCCTGTCAAATTCTGCCTTTATCCAGCCACTGAGAAACAGAGACTAAAATTTACCCTATTTGAACTGTGAAAGGAGGTAAACATAATGAATGGTAACTTTTTTCATGTGTTAATATTATAAAAGAAAAAAACGCAAATATTTTGGACTGCTGTATATCATAGATTTGGTATGAGTTTCAGAGTAAAAAAAAAGATCAGTAAACTGGTTTTATGAAGAGGTATTACAGGAATAAAATTACAGGCTTTGTCTCCTCCAAGAGAATACAAAAAGAAGCTAAAAACCAAAATAATTGAAACCAGCCTACAGAAGGGTGACACCATCCAGCACAAACCCAGGCTGTGTTTAAAGCTGGTGAGGGGTGGATCCTAGCCTCAGTCTGCAGGCAGTTTTGGGGTTGGTCTTGTCTGAGGAAGCAGATGAACTCCCTGGTCCCAGGCCTTGGGCTTGGAAAGCAGCAGGGATTGTGATGACTTTTCAGACCCACCTGATGGACGGGAGCTTACGCTTGTTTTTATGATGCAGGAGTATGAACCCCTAAGAGGAATTCAGGTGTCCTGGGTGTTTTGGTACTGATATTAACATACAGCCTCATGAAAGTCATTTACTATCACTGTGCATCAAAGAGCTCATTTGCTATAGAGGCCAATCATCTTTTCTCCCCATTTCAGAGGTACCTGTATGAGTACATGCCCCAGTCCTGCCCCACTACATAGTGAAGTCTTGAAGGACAAAGACTGTGGGTTACATCTTTCACTTTCCTTTTCTTTTCCTTTTACCCATCAGCCCCTTTCTTGTGATATAAAGGACTATGTCTATATTATATTTCTTCAGTAAGTATTTGTTGAATGAACAAATGAATGAATGAGAGAGAAATTTTAAGTGTAAACAATTTGGGCAGATTTCACAATACAATTAACCTTGAAAGATATATAAACATTTGCAGATTTAAAAAAATTATTAATATCCCAGATGATCTTCATCTCTACTTTGGAACATTTAAGCACAGGAACATTGTTTAAAATATATCTCTAGGCCGGGCGCGGTGGCTTATGCTTGTAATCCCAGCACTTTGGGAGGCCGAGGCGGGCGGATTACTTGAGGCCAGGAGTTCGAGACCAGCCTGGCCAACATGGTGAAACCCCATCTCTACTGAAAAATACAAAAAATTAGCTGGGCATGGGGGCGGGCACCTGTAATCCCAGCTACTTGGGAGGCTGAGGCAGGAGAATCACTTGAACCCAGGAGTTGGAGGTTGCAGTGAGCCGAGATTGTGCCATTGCACTCCAGCCTGGGTGACAAGAGCAAAACTCTGTCTTAAATAAATAAATAAATAAATAAATAAATAAATAAATTAAAAATACTTGTTTTTAAAATAACGTGCTTATAGCCCACATTTTGAAAAACCTGAGAATGGCATAAAAAAATAAAATCAAGGCTCAAGCTTGTAATTCTAGCTCTTTGGAAGGCTGGGGTAGAAGGGTCATTTGAGTCTAGGAGTTTGTGACCAGCCTGGGCAATAAAGTGAGACCTCATCTCTACAAATATATATATATAAAATCAGCAAGGCATGGTGGCATGCCCCTGTAGTCCCAGCTACTTGGTAGGCTGAGGTAGGAGGCCTACTTGAGCCCAGGAAGTCGAGGCCGCAAGTGAGCCATGACAGCACCACTGCATTCCAGTCTGGGCAACAGAGCAAGACTCTGTCTCAAAGGAAAAAAAATTTTAATAAAATCATACCCATTCCTATTCTAACCACCAGGAAGTAAATCACTACTAACATTTTGCAAATACAAAATCTTACATAGAGTTAGTAGGTCACCCATGCAGAGCATCGAACCCAAAGCACATAGATTTCCTTAGATCCAGGCTACGGTCCTCAGTTTCTTGTATGTTTAAAAAATTTTTTTTTAAATCAGTTAATCCAGTGAGTTCCTTGGGCACTGGAGGAGTGTTTCAGCCTAAACAAACTTAGCGGTTTCTGATCGCTAATCAGACTGTACTCACTTACACTAAAACATTTAACGGCTAAATAAATAAAATGCTCTGTGGAGTAGTTGACTTGAGAAACGAGAGCAATATCTGAGGGCTGCTTTAAAATATTAGAGCAAAATAACAGAATTACTTCAATGGGCATTGCCATCAAGCCAGGACCACTACAAGATGTGCTTGCCAAATAGACCAACAGACAAGGAGAAGTCCACATGAGACAATTCTGCGCTGGGCTGCTTTAGAGGCATACTCACAAACTCCTATTTATTCTTCTCTTTATTGACTCTATGTGGCCAACTGCAATTCGGATTATACCATCAGTTCTCTTTAACTCACAGGAGTTAAGGTTTTAGCTTCTACAAAGAGGCGACTTAAACATTATTCCCAAAGATTGGCAGAGAAAGTATTTTATTCTAAGATAAAAGAAAGGAAAAGGAAAGTATGATTCTTTTTGTATTATTATTATTATTATTATTTTGGGACAGGGTCTCACTCTGTTGCCCAGGCTGGAGTGCAGTGGCAAGATTTCACTTCACTACGGCCTCCATCTCCCAGGCTCAATCAATCCTCCAATGCTGCCACACTCAGCTAGTTTTTGTATTTTTTGCAGAGGTGGGATTTTGCCATCTTGCCCAGGCTGGTCTCAAACTCCTGGGCTCAAGTGATCCACCCGCCTTGGCCTCCCAAAATGGTAGGATTAAAAGGCATGAGCCACCGCACCAGGCTGAGCAATAATTCTTTAAAATTATTATGTGTGGCAGTGTATGCATCATCATGAAGTTCTCTAACATAGCCAAGGAAGTGGTAATATTGTCTAAATTTAGGACTGAGAAGAAAAATGTACTATTATTTCTTTCTCAGCATTTGTGTAGACTTCTCCTGTCTGTGGTTTTCAAGCTGTGTTCAAGGAACCAGGAACCCCACCTGGCTGGAAGGAGAAAAGGGAGCTGAGGGATGGGGTTATGGTCACTGGCTTAGGGTTGTCAGGTTAAATACAGGATGCCCAGTAAAACCTAAATTTCAGATAGACAACCAATAATTTCTTGGGGACGTGCAATATTTCAGACACACATATACTAAAAGCTTATTCATTATTTACCTGAAATTCAAATTTAACTAGGTATCTTGTGTGTGTTTATAAATATAGCTGCCTTATGACAAACTCCTTTCCACCTCCCAACAAAAGCAATCCTACTTTCCATGCTAAGCTTCCAGATAATCTTGTGTTTGAGAAAAGCATTCAGCAACAAAAAAAAGTTTGAAAACCACTTTGCTATACAAATATGGGCAACACTCTGAACCCCACTGTCTGTGGACTTTCCATCAACAAAGCAAATTGTGTCTGGTTATTGTGAAAATTAATTAAAGCTTGTAAAGCGCTTTGAAATTGGCATGTTCAGCCACATATGCTACAAAATATTTATCACACACCAGACTGCCTGAAAACATTCTGATTGCTCAGTGAACAACTAGATGGCAGAAATTCTCAAAGATGTTAAATCACAATTTTAATATCACCATATTGAAAAATCACATATTAAAACAGACCCTTCCAACCTAAGAAGGCAGAACATTTCAACCTAAGAAGTGAGTTTACCTTCAAAAAACAAACGAATAAACATGATTTGCTTTTAAAAGTACAGTATTTATACCGTTGTGGAGGTTTTCTTCAACTGAATCATAAGTTTTGTTGTTGCTGTTTTTTTTAAGCAGGAGTTCAAAACATAACAATCAGGAAATGAAGAAAATAGTTCATCTCCTATGAGACTATTGTCTGCTATTTCTGCTTGGTAAAGCTTTTTTTTTTTTTTAAGATTAAAAAAAAGTTTTATGAAAACAAAACAGAGATACCAACACAATAAAACACATCTGGAGGCCACTTGGTGACATTCAGGCTTCTTTTTTTTTTTTCAACCATTAGCTTTCATGGAAAGCTCTTACAGTACTAAAGCAAATGTCATAAAAGCATAATATTCATTACATAATGTTGTCTAAACACTTGAGGCTGAAATTCAAACCTGGCAGTGAAACTAAAGAGTAAATAAGTTCAGATTGTAACAACATAACAATGAAAAGACACAAGTGTAAACACCTGGTAGGTTGGCCAGGTAAATGCCATATTTATGAAGGAACACAGAGAGCTGTTACTTAGAACCTTAAGGCCAGCCACAGAAAAGACAGGATTACAATAAAAGTTGTCATAATTCATATGTTATTTCTGATTTAAACTGATTTACAAAGGTGGCAATCAGTCCCTAAGAGTACAGTTAATCTTATAGCCAAATAGAAAGACGTGCAATTTGGGCCAGGCACAGTGGCTCACGCCTGTAATCCCAGCACTTTGGGAGGCCGAGGCAGGCAGATCACCTGAGGTCAGGAGTTCGAGACCAGCCTAACTAACATGGTAAAACCCATCTCTACTAAAAATACAAAAATTAGCCAGGAATGGTGGTGGGCACCTGTAATTCCAGCTACTCAGGAGGCTGAGGCAGGAGAATAGCTTAAACCTGGGAGGTGGAGGTTGCAGTGAGCCGAGATAGTGCCATTGTACTCCAGCCTGGGTGACAGAGCGAAACTCCATCTCAAAAAAAAATAAAAAAAAAAATAAAAAACTTGCAATTCACTAAGCATAACGCTTGTCTAATGTTTCCTGCCTTTGTATATACTTTTCCTTCTGCCTAAACTAGCCCATTCTGCTATTCTGATAATGACTTGGCCAAACTCCTATTTAGTCATTAAGACCTAGCTCAATAATCTCTTCCTCTTTGAAGCCTCCCTTAATAGTCCACATAGAACAAATAACTTCAGGCTTTGCCTCTGTGCTACTGCTATATCCAGCACATTTCTCTATTCCTGCCTTTACAACAACATATTGCCAGTAAGTGCTTACATGCCTTCCTCCCTTACAAAACACTGCACTCTTGAAAAACTGAACCACTCCTATGTAATGTTTGTATTCCCAGAACCTACCATAATGCCTGTCAAACCACAGGCACTCAGTAAAGGTGTGTTGAAAGGAAAACCATGCCACCAAATTGAAATAAAAATGGGAAAGCTTAACATTAAATGGTTAACATGCATTTGTAAGTGCAATTTCTCCTTACTTTTCAGAGAAGAGAAAAGAAGGCAGAGAATATGCAAAACAGCCCCCATCACTTTGAAGTGAATAAATGGTTAGGAAAAGAGGCAAAAGATGAAAGGTTCTGTAGATCCATTTAAGGAGAGAGAACAACAGAAAACACTGTGAACTGCTCCTAAAGCATCTCTGCAAAAGTGTGTCAACCATACCCTGGAGCGCTAGCCTCCAGACCAAGGGGCATATTCGACTTTATTTCTGTTCCACCCTCTAACAGTCTGCTGAGAAGGCCCACAAAGGTGTCATTAAGAAATGAAATGCCTTCCTGCAGAATTTTCACACAGTCATTACCATCTGATAGCGTTTGATCTTTGAGTCATGGCTGAAGTGACCCAGATTCAAACTGGCGATTATTAATGTCAAATTTATTAGTTCTTCCTATTGGTACAGTACTTCATAGTCACTTATGAATCTTCTGGGAGACACATCATGGCTCACTGCTGTGTTCATCTGAACAATTCAAAAACTTAATCTCAGATATAATACAGATAGTAATGCTTCCCGGTGGCTGCTTATAACTTTGGGTGCAGCCTAATTAGAATGTGAACAAGACCTGAGGTCCTAAGGATTTGCTGAAAAGTGAGTGATTTAATTAATTACAATGCTACTAAAAGGAACATCTAGGCCAGTAGGTATGGTGACATATGCCAACATGTGTTATCAAAGATTAATTATAGGAAGAGTTTCACTACATACTGCATAGTTACACCAGCATTTATCTGGGGAGTTTGGAAGATAAGAAAGTTATTAGGGTTATTGAAAATATTAGGAATGCAACTAAAATGAATGTTATGTTATTTTTATTTTCCAGCAAACCCTCTCTAAGCCTCCCAAAATTAAATCCAGTTTGGTCAATGGGCACGCACATTTTAAACACAGTTTTAATCACTGTGTGTCAACAAGTGAACATGCTAATTTGAGTACTACTTTAAAAATTGTCCACATTTCCCATGTATAAACATAATAATCACATTTGTAATTTTTAGCATAAACATAAGTATGCCACTATTGTAACAACATTCAATTAATAATTTGCTCTGTAATATCACTGCATTTTTTTTTTTTAGCTGTCACATTGAACTCTAAGGTAAACTATAAACCAGACTTTTGATCAGGGGAAGTGTATATTCTGTTAGGCCCTCAGGCCTTTAAAACATAGCTATTGTTGAATTTTAACTGGCCACACTGAATAATAAATAAGGCTATAAGTTGCACCTGGCTCATATGAATACTTTTGAAATAGACTGTTAAAAAAATTCTAATTTGGGATTTGGGTGGTGAGAATGATGAGACTAATAATAACACTACCAGCTCACATTTGTTATTTATTATCTATCCCCCTGAAGTTATGGCCTCCACATTTTTAGAGTCAAGTAAATTTTGAGCTTAAAAAATCATCAGCCTCTCCTCACTTTACAACTGAGGAAACTGAGGCACAGAGTGGGTACGAAGGCCAGAAAATTATGTGACTCATCTAAGATCCCATGCAAGTTAGTAGGAGATGCAATAATTATGTAAAAGCATTTAATATAGAACACACATAAGCACAGCAATATTTATGAAACAATAAAATATCATCAAACAATTTTGGGTAAGCTACAAGTGCTTGCTTACTTTCCCTTTCTATTGTTCTTTTCTTCTTTCTTTCTAAAAATTTAACTGCAAACATTCCTTTATTTAGGAACTGGCAAACCAAAGCTCCTTAGGAAGCTGCATCTCGAACTAAAAGGTAGCTTCCTCATCAGTAAATTGGGATAACCTTGGTCAGACCTGCACATAAAGATGCAAGGAAGATAAAATGAGATGAATATGAAAGTGTTTTGTGTACTTTGGAGGTATTAGTCTTATCATAATAAAGAACCCCCAAGTTGAAACATGGTAATTTCTGGATAAATAAGTTGGCTCAACTTCTTAATAGGAAAACAGACTCACTGCCAATTTAGCTCTGGAACTCGAGACATTAAAATAATAATTTCAAGCAACTAGGTTTCCTAGCAAGCTGGTTGAAATCACTTAGAGGATTAGCTTTTCACCCCTGGAATTTAAATCAGGAGATTGTTTGAGTGAAAGACAGTCTGTCATCCATGTTTTAACATACATGGCAACATCACAAGCCTCTCTGAAGATTCTACCTCTATTTTTTTTTTAAGGTTACAGAGTGGCATGGGTGTATTATGAAGAAGGAAGTCACATAGCTTCCTTGTTGCACATATTCAATCTTCTATTAATATAGCATCCCTTTGCTAGATGATTACATTTCCTTGATCACTTGGGAGTGTGGAAAAGGAAGGAGGGTTATTTGATACGCATCTTTCCTTCTATTCTACCATGTTTCTCTGGCTTTATTTAGATAAAAGGGTAAACAGCTGAGAAACTCCACTTCAGCTGGGGGGAAAAACCCACAAAAATGCTCCAAATAAAATATCTCTATCTCCTTTCTAAAAAATTTTTAGGTCAGATAAAAACAGAATACTGGCTACTATTTGTGTTTATTTCATTTTATTTATTTATTTATTTATTTATTTATTTATTTTGAGACTGAGTTTCACTCTTGTTGACCAAGATGGAGTGCAATGGCACGATCTTGGCTCACTGCAACCTCAGCCTCCAGGTTCAAGTGATTCTCCTGCCTCAGCCTTGCGAGTAGCTGGGATTACAGGCGTGCACAACCACGCCAGGCTAATTTTTTGTATTTTTAGTAGAAACGGGGTTTCACTATGTTAGCCAGGCTGGTGTCGAACTCCTGACCTCAGGTGATCTGCCCACTTCGGCCTCCCAAAGTGCTGGGATTATAGGCTTCAGCCACTGCTCCTGACCTTATCTTTATTTTATATACAACATTAAAATGGCAGTAGACAAAACAGTACAGAGGTATCTTCAGGGAACAGGTAGCTATCACAATAAATATCTAACAGTGCTATGAAAAAAGGTACAGCAGCTTAAGAGGATTGGGGAGTGCTAGATGGTGACTGGGAAAAAGCAGGGATGCTGCTATTTTTTACAGGGTGACCAGGGAAGGCTATCTGACATCAGATGACTTTTGAGCAGAGACCTGAAGGGACAGAGTGAGCTGTGATTTCACATGTCTTTTTTTTAACATTCGTTTAAAGTCCAGTACAAACAAGGAGATCTGCTGTAAAACTTCAGGAAAGTCAAATCTGCAAATATTAAGGCTTTATACAATACTCTGAACCAGCTCTCAATTTATTTCAAGTAATCCTTGACCTGTTTAGCTACAGTTAAGTATTTTTCCTAAAATGCTTCACAGTATTTCTTCACATAATAATTAAAGAGAGTTTTCCAGTTATATGTGCAAACAACCCAGGTAGATAATTCAGGTAGAATTTTCCATTCTGAGACCCTGATGATTTGATTTGGCAGAGGGCATATGGTAGGAAGAAGGTGCTAAAGCTAGCTGATTTTGCCACTGGCCACGTGTAAAAGTTCAAAGGAAATTGGATAGTTAGCCAGGTTTCAGAATAGTGAGTTTTAAAGTTCTTCTTTTAATTAAAAACCAAATAAAACAATAATAAAACCTCCCCCAAAATGGCAACAAACAACAACAAATCAAGTAAAGTAGGTATCATATGTCTTCTTTATTATTATTATTTTTTTGAGATGGAGTTTATATTATTTTTTTTTTTGAGATAGGTTTTGCTCTTACCACCCAGGCTGGAGTGCAATGGCGCAATCTTGGCTCACTGCAACCTCCACCTCCTGGGTTCAAGAGATTCTCCTGCTTCAGCCTCCTGGGTAGTTGGGATTACAGGCACCCGCCACCACGTCCAGCTAATTTTTTGTTTTTTTTTAGTAGAGGCAGGGTTTCACCATGTTGGCCAGGCTGGTCTCGAACTCTTGGCCTCAAGTGATCTGCCTGCCTCGGCCTCCCAAAGTGCTGGGATTACAGGTGTGAGTCACCACACCTGGCCCCAGATACATTTAAAAACCTTTACAGTGATTTGACCAGATTATATTTCTTAAACTGACATAGAAAACTGGAATTCATTCATTCAACAAATAAGGATGCTCAAAAAGTGAGGAAACATAGGATCAATTTATTTTTCAACAGTATATTAATTATACTTTTGAATAATATGCTCAACATCTTTTTCTGTCAACCTCCAGATATGTTTCCAGTTGAAGTAATTCCAAATTTAAAGCAATGAGATCAGTTGTTAACCTGGAGAAAAATACAATAAATGCACCATGGAGTATGCCTAAAGTCTGGAAACTGAAGGAAAATAATGTATTTATTATGTTGTTTTTCAGATAAACAATTATGCTCATTGTTTTAAATTGGGAGATACTTTGTGCGAGAGGTGTTTGCAAGTTGACAAAATATACACTGAGCATATTATTTGAAAACATAACAGTATATATATTTTTAAGTTTCTTGAGTTTTTGGACTCCCTGTATTTGTCAAGTTTCTACTATGCGCCAGGCACTGTGGTAGGCATGAGGTATGCAATGGTGAACAAACATGGCTCCTTGTGATTAGCATCTACTCACAGGCACAGAACATAGATCTTCATTTCCAGGTTGAAATGACATCTATAATATTTTGACAGCAAAATATCAATGACTACTTTTAAGGAATAAAAGCAGTCATTAAGAGTGAATGAATGAACAAAAGAGAAAGGAAGGAAGGACGGAAGGAAGGACGGAAGGACGGAAGGAAGAAGGAGGCAGAAAGGGAGAGAGAGAGTAAGGAAGGGAGGGAAAGGAAAAGGAAAGAAAAGCAGGCAGGCAGATAATTTGGTCTAGTAGGATTAGAAACAAATTTTGGAATGAGAAGGACACCTTAGACATCACCTAATTTAATGGCTCAGCAGCAGTTGTACATTGGAATCATCTGAGGAGCTTGTTCAAGCTAAAAGTGCAAGACTGCACTGAAAACCTACTGCATTAAAATCTGTGTATTTGTATTTAGATGTGTGTGATTCAATCCTTTGATTAATATACACTGATCTAGTCTAATTCCCTCATTTTATATATGAAGAAACTGAAGCCCAGAGAGGCTGAGAAACTGGCTCAAAAATCACACAGTTATTGTACTAGTCTGAGTTTTTTGGTTTTTAATCCAAAAAACTGTTAAAAAAAAACTGGCTTTTTCTGTACTATTATAGCACATCCCTCCACTACTGTCTATTTTGGGGTCTCTGCTTGAGAAAAAACAGGATAAATTGACAAAGTATTTCATTAAAGGTTATGGAACTAAGCCAGGTGAGGTGGCTCACACCTGTAATCCCAGTACTTTGGGAGGGCGAGACAGGTGGATCACTTGAGGTCAGGAGTTCAAGACCAGCCTGGTCAACACATGGTGAAACCCCGTCTCCACTAAAAATACAAAAATTAGCCAGGCGTGGTGGCATATGCCTGTAATCCCAGCTACTTGGGAGGCTGAGACAGGAGAATCTCTTGAACCCAGGAGGCGGAGGTTGCAGTGAGCCAAGATCATGCCACTGCACTCCAGCCTGGGTGACAGAAGGAGACTCCATCTCAAAAAAAAAAAAAAAGTTATGGAACTAAAGCAAAGAAGCCAGTGTCCACAGGCAGCATAAACAGTAACAAAAAAAGACCCATGATACACTATCATAACCTGGTTGCTTCCTGCCTAAACAGCCAAATCAGGCTAGTTTAAAACGCTCTCACACAAAAATCATAATTCCTATCAGTTTCTCATTTCAGCACTGCAATGAATAATAATTTTGGTTTCTGTGGGTAAGGAAGGGGAGGGAAAAAAAAAGAGTGATTTTTCTGATTTATTCCCAAAATTCAGAAGGTTAAAAAAAATATGTTCCCAGTACCTCAATATGGAGAAAGCCTGGTCTGCTTTTAACACTTTTGGCAGTACTTGAGGACACGTTTTTGGCTATTAGCCTGCCAAGCTGTTTAAGCTTATAGAAGGCCCACAAAGGGAACTTGTATGATTAAGTTAGTTAAACACAAACATCTTCTCTGTATATTTTATTCCCTCCCTTCACATTCATGAAACATAAAAGGCTAAAGCAATTCAGAACTAGGTGAGGGGGGCAAGTTATTTATCACTTCAGCTCCTTTCTCAAGGCTTGTGTAAGTAAGAACTGGGGCAACTCAATGAAATTATTCATATGATCCTTGCAGTGAACAAAGCTTAGCATCAGAAAGCAGTTCAAAATTCCTATGAAGCATATGTATTCTCTTACAAGAAACATCTGTGATTCTCTAATGCGCTTCAGACCTAACTTTATCTCTTTCTAAAAATTATGTAACATGCATATACTTCAAGCACTGAACATACATATTAATTTCATAGTCACAGAAGAATGTAAAATGTAATCTCTTTTTGACATACATTATAACACATATTTCAACATTAGAGCACTAAGCAGTCTTCTTGTGTACAATCGAACATCCTCTAAATGATTTGAAAGAGATATTTCAAAGCAAAACAACATACCACACTACATAGCACAAGCTTGTCCGACCCACGGACCGTGGGCCACATGCAACCCAGGATGGCTTTGAATGTGGTCCAACACAGATTTGTAAACTTTCTTAAAACATTATGAGATTTGTGTGTGTGTGTGATTTCTTTTTTTTATTTAGCTCACCAGCCATCGTTAGTGTTAGTATGTTTCATGTGTGGCCCAAGACAATTCTTCTTCCAATGTGGCCCAGGGAAGCCAAAAGGTTGGACACCCCTGAATTCTAGCCCCTTTTCAGATCCCAAATTAGGAACTTAGATTATTCATGCACGTAAATAGGATAGTTGGAAGTATCAATTGTAGTTAACAAGTTATGTGTTTCTTCCGAAAATTGCCATATTTGCTTATCAGTGAAATAAAAGAAACCAAAGAATTACAAATGCCCTTGGTGAAACTATACATGGCTTAAAGCAGTTTACTATTATTAGATTGAAACGTGTGTGTGTGTGTGTGTGTGTGTGTGTGTACACAGAAGGCAGCATTTTAACTGGGGCAGAGGAGCTGGCCAACATAGAAAAAGGTTTTAATAGACTTTCTATTTCAACCATAGTTACTGTGGGTTTTGTCTCTATAGCAATGGGCCTGGGTAAGGTGGATGTGTCTGGCAAGCTAGGGTGTTCAGCTGGTAAAATAACATAAACCTCATTTTACCTCTAGTTGAGCAAATTTCCTCCAAGAAGGTTTGCTTAACTGAAAGACAATTTCCAAGGATAAAGGGGATTTAAGGGAAAACTCTAAGCATCTTTTGGTGGGCTATTCTTCGCAGTACAGTACTATGCTAAGTTTAACCTCACACCTTCTCCTATATTTCATCAAAGGCCTCCAATAGCATTAGTTACTGGTAGTACTTTGGATTTAGGCAGTCACCTAACCTCCAGGATCTCAATCATCCCTAGCAGCATAGGCTAATTTCAGCTGTCTCTACAGGGGCTACATGAAACATGGCATTTACAAATTTGGGTTATACAGTAATATTTATTACATGATGGAAGATTTCCAAAGATGCCAGAAGAGATGTTGGCATTTATGCAAGTCAACTACTGTTCAACCCAAAGAAGCACTATATTCTATAGGATGTTTCTGCCAGGATTGAAAGAGCCTATGTGAAAACACCTTCATTAGGACCATCTTAGCACCTCACCTCTTGGATACCCTCTAGCTCTAGGTGTTATGTTTCAGGTGGGCCAAAATTGTCCTGGAAACAGAACTCCCCAGTTCTATTACCTGTCCATTTACTCCAAGTCCTGAGAGTGTATATTTTCTTATTTTCAGATCTAATAAGTCAAATATATCTAGTAGCTATTAAAAGATTTAAACCACCAGTTTTAAAAGGTTTCTAAAAAGGGTTCAGTGTTCAGAGATTTCAAGCCCACAGAGGAGGCAGATTTGGAGAGTTTACTTCCAATAAAATCGTGAAATTATGTGCTGATTCCCCTCTATCCCCCATTTTAAGAATATTCTTATTGAGATCTCTCTACCTTTTTAATGTTCTTTTATAACACCTCTTCATAGAGCCACAAAAAGAAAAATAGAGGAATCTGGGAAAAAAAAGTGTACCAAATGATGTCCAATAACCTAAAAAGATAACTATATTGCTATGTCCCTAAAGAGGGAGACAGGCAAACTTGAAAACATTAGCTACTTACAATATGCTCTAAGATAACCTTTTCCCCTTTACTTCTTTGGGGTAATCCAAACTGCTATAAATGTTTCTTTAAAATTCCTTTATTAAAAAGTTTGTTGTGCTTGCTCAAAGAAAATGGCTATCCTAGAAAACTAGGGCCAATATTATAGCACATTAAGTGGTGGCTACTTTATATTAGACTTCTTTTTTTTTTAAAGGCAACAAAAATGGGGGGAAAGGTGGTTATAAAAAACATCACAGGAAACCAAATAGCCTTTATTTAAATTAAAAGCAATCACAGCCTGATTCTTGGAACACACTTCGAAATGCTTTTTGGCATGCAGCTGCTACATGCCGCCAATATTGTGTGTAATTGGAAACATTTCAAACAGAATTGTTACCAAAGTCAAAGACCATAATTGCAAGCCCAGGGATCTCTGCCTCAGATAAAAGAAGGGCAGCTGAGCAAGAGTGCTCGGCATGGAGGAGTCTACTTACGGGTCTGCATCTCACAGCAATATTTTCATTGCATTATTGACAGATCTTTCTTCCGGAGACCCAATGAGAAAAGGACACAGAGAGAAGCACACGCAAAGCAGAAGCTGGTGGGTGCTATAAATCAGCAGCTGGGACAAAACTCTTAGAAAGGAGTCCATGACTTCAGTACCAGAACAACTGAAATAACACAGCCCTAACTTTTTTTTTTTTTTCTGAAGTGTAATCCACTAGAAATGAAAGGCATCTCTCCCAAGAGTTTACCCCAAATCTACCAGTGAGAAAAATGCAACTGCTGTTGAATTGGTCAGTTGACTTTTAGGCTCACTTAGGACCAAACTTAGGGGAGAAGAAAGTTAAGTAAAGGCAAATGATAGCTGCTTGCTAGTTTGCAGCTTACATTTTAAAATGTTTACATTGGCTTCTGCCTGGCTGACATTTTTACTTTTATTTTATATGTAAAATCTCTCTTTATAGGAGAATGAAGCTGGAAAGGTCTAATCGGTTCAGGCTGGGCAATCATTCTTGTTCCTGGAGAGGTCCCTTCAAAAATAACCAAAATGCATTTAGAGTTTAGTCTAAACAAGTGCATAAAACTGAGACACAGGAAGAATTATTACATTCTGAGAGGTTTGATCACCCTCCCCACCCCCCACAACTGGAAATAGTCAATGCCAGTGGACCAGTGGCTCAGGAATGGTTCTTGGAAAAATTGTGTCATTCTGGCATACAGAAAAGTGATCTGATTATTCTATCATATCTCTGTGCCAGAAGTGTCATGACATCAGCGTGCTCCAACCTGTAAAGCCTGTCTGGTTCGCCATCCCTGCTTCAGGAGAGAGGGGAAGTGGGGGGAAATAGCAGCTTACTCAGATTCCCCATACAATTTTAGGCCAGGCTTTTTTCACTGCTCCAAAATGTTCATTCATCAACACGTAGGTAATTAACCTCCACTTCAGTTCAGCATGACCATAAACAAGGGGATGTGATTACCAGTTACTGGGGCAGATGAAGCGCTACATTTCTGTGTGTCCAGAGATGGGGAAGTCAGAGGCTTGGGGCTGCTCCAGATTCCTCAATGCCATCTTGGTCCTTGGAACGTGCTGTGGAGCGCTGGCTCCATAGGCTGCATGAGGTTTCGAGGAACTGCAACAATGCAGGACTTGGTGCCCAGATTACTGTACTTCCCTCTCTCAACTTGCTTGCTCACACCAACCTTCTAAAGATATTATTGTGCAATCCAATAATCCTTTCTTCTGTGACCAGAAGAAAAAGAAGTAATGGTCCCTTAAAACACCAATCGACCAACCAAGCAACCCAGAAACACAATCCTTTCACTTTCCTAACTCCTTCTCTTTATTGTGGAATAATCATACATAGATTTAGGCAATCTTAATATTCTCTCACTAATAAGGGTTAAACAGTTGGTATTATTTTACATAACATGGAGATGAGAGAGACAGCTATTTTTTCCAAGGGGGAAGAGTCTATCCTAGTCAAATGATACTTTTAACATTTCTATTCACAGATGAGAATCACTTTGATTTTTTAAAATTACCTTTTTTTTTTTTTTTCCCCAGAGATGGGGTCTAACAATGTTGGCTGGGCTGAACTTGAACTCCTGGGCTCAAGCGATCCTCCCCAGTAGCTGGGGCTATAGAGCCAAGCACCACTACATGTAGCTTTCCTGTCTTTCTTTAAAAGGAAAAATTTGCTCTTTATAAACTATTTTAACCAGGAAATTAACTGCAGTAAGTAGAATATAAGTAATGATAATCTTTACTGAAAATTGTTTCCCATGATATTAGAGAGCCCAAAATATAGGTATAGGCCATTAAGAGAGTTACTTAATTACTGGAAAATACTTTGTAAAGATTCTTGTTCCATTTCATGAGTATTATAGACAATCACTCATAATACTTAATTCTTTGTATTTTGCTTTCAAGTAATTATAAGAGATTTTAGAGAAATTATGATGCAACTTTTAAAACTTATAATTCAGCTTACTTTTTAAAAGCCTTAATCAAAGAAACTGCAAAATTTAACTTTTTTGGTCTTTTCAGAATTATCAAAAGAGAGAATATTAGGAACAACTAGACTTACCTACATCTGACTCTAAAGTTAAGAGTTCAGCTATTAACCCTATAGGAGATCTTTATTTCTCCCTAGCTAATATTAGATTTTATCTGGGGGACTCAAGCTGACTTATTACACCACCACACACCATGGACAAATAGTGCTTCCATGGACCTTGATTATAAAAACATAATAAGCTTTTTAAGCTTCACTGGTGTTACTGGCAGAACTGATTGAATCTGTCACTTTAGTAAAATATATCATTTTTCTTTTTAAAACCTATGAACCAACAGGCTCACTCGGTGATAACTCGCCAATTAGTACCAAATTAAAGATGGAAAAATTAATTTACTAAGCCCATTCAGTTGCATCAATATGTCTATCTCTATAAACTATCCAGTTTTTCCTTCCTTTTTCCCTCCCTCTCTCCATCCCTCCCTCTTTTCCTTCCTTCCTTCCTTTTGAGGCTTATTTATAAGAATGAATCATACTACATTAGCCATGACTTATTAAACTTGGAGATTTTCAAGTTCATCAGCAAGTGTGCAAACCCTTAACTGTGGGTAACATCCATTTATTTGTAGCACCTTTCGGTTTTAATATGTAGAGCACATGCATTGTTAACCTCTAAATCCTTTGTATAAACATTTCTGGAAGAGCTGGTAAAATATCTCCTTCTGTGTTTCCTGACTCGCCAGTTGATGGCATTTAGAAACCCTCTGGTACCAGCAGGTGCTGTATTTTGCTTTCTTCAGGCTCCAGCTGGGCTACAATGACAGATTCCTGTCCCAGGCCAAGCCTAGCCACCAAGGCTAGGACCACATTGGAGGCAAACTGAACCAGGCTCCACCAGACAGCAAGATGAATGGCTGCTGTTTAAGTTTAAAATCCCCTGGTGGGAGTAAATATTGTTCCAGAGAAAAGCCTTGACAAATACTGCGTCATCCTTACAGAACTGTCTTGATTAAAGCAGAATCTTTGGATTAAGTTGATGCTCAATTCAAAATGTATCTATCTTGCTGTCATGGGATTTTTTTTTGTTTTTTTTTTCCTTTCTAGAGTCTGAAAACAGACATAATGTTGGGGACGGTCAAACAAGGCTGCCGGCTCCCAAGGGGCTAGAGTCCACTCCTGATAATAGAAGGCGGCTGAACACTGACACTTCACTGAGGATAATGGAGACAGCAAAGGCTTAGTGGGAAAGGGCCAGTTGTCACCTAAGTGACAGGCAACAGCTGAGCTCACACATCTGGAGCCGGACTACGGCAAACATTAGCAACCCTCACCAGTCTACACCTTGGGCCTGTCTGAAAAGACAGATGGAAGTTCCCTCTACTCCTAAAGTACATTAAAAAATGTCTGATGGTGAACCACATCAATTATATAACATCAACTGCAGGCACAGCCTTCCAAAGTACTGATTAAGACGAGGCAGTAGACAACACTGTATGCATGAACAGATACAAGATACCATTTCAGTGATTTGTCATTCATAAAACTTATCCTAAAAGACACATATACATGCATCCATTTGATAGCACAAATGCATGTTAACTCTGCAGGAGAGGCAGATTTTTACATGTTTTTTTGGTTGTAGTTGTTGGTGCTTTTTTTTTTTCCTTTAGGCTGGTTCCCGTGGTGTGTTTGCCTTGTTCATGGTCTCAGTTCTGCCGCTGATACCCTTTTAAAAATCAGCAACCAAACGCGTTCGGCTTGTGATCCTGAACCCTCCTTAGGCAAGCTGGAACTAAGCGTGATGCAGCCGTCCTCCCTCTCTCCCAACCCCCAACCTCGTTCTTCAGCCTCCTGAAGACAATCTGTGAACAATTTTCCCAAAGTCCCAAGAATAACACAGCACTGCCAATAGTCACTGGCGATGCCGTTTGTTTTTCTTAGAGGGTAATGAAAATTTAACAGCTTTCTGCTGCATCCTGAGTCCCGCTCCTAATAACTATTAACATGCCTAGTTTCTTCAACTTTTTCTACCTCAAGAGAGGAAGACGCTCCCATTTTTTCCCTATATCTGTGCTACATTCAGCAAACACCATCGCGGGGCAGGGGGTTGGGGAGAGTGGTGGGAGTTGATTCGCCTCTGCCAAAAAGCCACCAGCCCCTTTCCCCAGCGCTAGAGGAGAGAATCGGTACCCTCCCTCCGGACGCCAGTAGGTGACAGGCGATCCTAAGCGGCGGGAACACGCCAACGCACCCTCGCCTCCCGGCGCCCCGCATCGCCTCGACCCTCGGGCTACAGAACCTGTTTCCACGCCGGAGAAAACCAAGGGAAGAGTTGGTTGTGATGCAGCAAACAGGAGCCATGCGGAGAGCCTCTGCGGAGCCCTGGCGATGCTGCAGCCAATATCTGCTTTCCCTGTCTACACAGCCCAACAAACCGATTATGACCTTCTCCCTGATCTTCTGCGACACCGACCCAGTCTGGGTGTCACAGACTCCGGCGGTGCCAGCGAAGGTGCCCGGCCCTACCCCTGCGGCGCTCGCCCCCCACCACCGCGCCGCAGCCCCCTCTGCGGAATCCGCCGGGATCCAGGCTGCCACTCACCTCGCGCGAGGGAGACGCAACTCGGCTGCACTGTCCTCGGCGCCGCTGCGGGGCTGCTGGGCTGCGGGGCTGCGGGGCTGAGGAGCTGCGGTCCGCGGCGTCAGGGGTGGGCGAGGGTGAGCAGCGCACGAACCATCCAGAGCCCAGAAAGTCTCCGTGCCGACCGCGGCGCGTCTCGGGGAAGTCAGCGCAGGCTGCGCGAGGCTGGCATGTTCCGGGCGCGCTGTCGGGCGGCGGCGGCCGCGGGAGACGGCGCTGGCAGCTGGGCTGCAGGCGGAGTGCGCTCGGGCTCCGGAGCCGCGCGCTGCGGCGCCGCCGCGCACCCCGCCCTCGGCCGCGGGGCCCGGCGCGAGCGAAAACGCGGAGCGCGGACGCCGCCGCGGGATCGAGGCCGCTGGGCGCGCGCCCACGCGTACCCCGGCTCGGCCCTGAAAGCGAGGTCGGGCCCGGCTCGGGCCGCGCCCGGGGGCAGGGCTGCGAGCAGGCCTGGGACCGGCTCCACGCGCAGCCAGTGGGGCAGAGCAGCAGGCGGATTATGCGCAGGGAGAAAAAAGTTCACCAACCGCGGTCCAGAGTCGCAAGTGCGGCTCGCTCGGAGCCTCTGCCCCGCCCCCGATTATAAGCCTTTTTTTTTTTTTTTTTTTAACCAACAATCCCGATGGACTGAAACACAGGAAGAGTGAAGGGACGGGGTGGGGGGTGGGGGAGAGACAAACCCAATTTCCTCTGATCAAACGATTTGGGTAGGGGTGCCTATTTGAGTTCCTTCTCCTTCGGGGGGTGTGTGAAGGGGGCAGTTAATTAAACACTTAGATTCCTTCCGGCGCGCCTTGCCGAGCTGGGGACCCGTTTGGACTCGATCCTGTCTCGTGTAATCCCACAGGCTGGTCTGAGTCTCTGCCCCGGAACCGGAGGAGTGATCTTTCAGAGCAAGAAGCCAAAGTTCAGCCTCTAGTCCGTTCCCTTCCCCGCCTCGACGGCCCTGGTCGTCTCCATGAAAACTCAGTGTGGGGGATCGTGCCCGCGAAAACCTCAGCCCACCGCAATGTCCAGAGCCTGACCCAAGTGAACGTGGCGCACTTAAAAGCGGGTTCAAAGCATTGATCCGAACACGGTGACAATTTTTCACTGGCCAAACTACTCTCCACATTTTCAGTCTGCTCAATTCCCAGAGCTGGGCTCTCAGGCGCACTCACCCACGTTGAACTGGGGCTCAGCCTGTTTGAAAGTTCTGCCCTGACATTTGTGTCACACTAAACCTTAGAACCCCCCACCCTCTCCAGTTCCGGATCGGTGGAGTCTCACCGTGTGGGTACTATTTCCCTGGACTGCAGAGGGCAGACACAGGCGGCAGCTGTTAACCCGAACTTGACAGGTGCCTCTGCAAAGCCAGGGCTTCCTTGACCTCTCCATCCTCTCCACAACGCTCTAGGATACTGTATCATCTTCCAGGAAGATGAGGATGTGTGTGGGGGGAGTGTGGAGGGAGGTGTTGACTGATGCAATTTTTATCCTTTTAAGAAAAATCAAAACTGCCAGTCTCAGAATTTCTCAGAACATCAAGTCTTTTCGATTTTCGTTGGGAATAAAGCAAAGGAATACTCAGCAAAAATGGAGCCGATGAAAAGAGAATGCAAGGAAATAAAGGCAAATGGAGGAGGAAACTGTCTAAATCCAGGAAAATGTATGGCTTCAGCACTGTGCTCTATAATTCTGACTCAGATCTCCCCACGCTGTAGATACTTTCTCCTGTCTAGATGCC
Source organism: Homo sapiens (assembly GCF_000001405.40). Classification (NCBI taxonomy): domain Eukaryota; kingdom Metazoa; phylum Chordata; class Mammalia; order Primates; family Hominidae; genus Homo; species Homo sapiens. The sequence continues at coordinate 42,591,227 of NC_000012.12, forward strand.
CAGGCAGAGTTCCTGAGCTCAGATCACTCAGGAAACAAGGCTGTTGCTTTTGAAATAATTCCACTTGCTAGCGTTGTTTTTTTTTTTTTTTTTTTTTTTTTTTTTTTTTGAGACGGAGTTTCGCTCTTGTCACACAGGCTGGAGTGCAGTGGCGCGATCTCCGCTCACTGCAACCTCCGCCCCGCCCCCGTGTTGAAGCGATTCTCCTTCCTCAACCTCCCGAGTAGCTGGGATTACAGGCACCTGCCACCGCGCCCAGGTAATTTTTGTATTTTTAGTAGAGACAGTTTCCCCATGTTGGCCAGGCTGGTCTCGAACTCCTGACCTCAGGTGACGAGAATCTGGGAAAGAACAAACCAGGTTTTCTTGCCCCTCAGCATTTTATTGGAATTGGCCTTTGAAGTTGTGTCTGTTTATCTTGCTGGGGTTACAAATGCTTCTATTAAGCTATCAACTTTTAGGTTCTATCTAACCTCCAGAACTGCCAAAGAAAATTTCACTACCTCCATAGGTGAAATAAATCTTATTGCTGTACAGTGACTTCACAAAGGTTTTGTTTGTTGAGCATCTATTATGTGGAGCAGACACCCTGAGCACTGTGGATGATACATGGTCATTCCCTCTGGAGGATTACTGCCTCTTTGGACTGTGTGCTGGGCAGCATCTTTTGGATCCATTGCAAAGGTGAATACTTGGCCTTCAACCAGGACTCATAAAATTACTCCGGCCAGTGCATGTGATGGTCTGAGGTCACAACAGTCTGATTTCAAATTTCAGCCCCACCGCTTACCAAATGTAGCCTGGGGTAATGTAGTTAACCTCTCTCAGGCTTAGTTTCTCATTGGTAAGTGAGGGTAATAATATTCAGCTCAGGGAACTGTTGGGAAGATTGAATGCTGCAGAAATCACTGGAACGTTTGTATTTCATTTTATAAGGCATCTTCTCACAAGCACCCTTCTCTATAGCAGCCTCCATGCAAAATCCCACAAGTAGAAAAGAACTGTTTTTTATTTAATCTGAAAAAGCATTCTTCATTGTGAACTCTTGAATTGCTCCTGGGTCTCTTTTTCTTTTTTCTGAGTCTGTTTTATTAATGGTGTTATTTTCTTTGTCTTTACAAAGCAACATGATGTCATACCTTTTGTAAGAAATCAATTCACTTAGAGAATGTCTACTTTTCTTTTTTGAGACACCCTTGATCTGTCACCCAGTCTGGAGTGCAGTGGTGATCACAGCTCACTTCAGCCTCAAACTCCTGGGCTCAAGTGATCCTCCCGCCACAGCCTCCCGAGTAGCTGAGACTACAGGCATGCACTACCGTACGTGGCTAAGTAACTTCTTTTTATTTTATTTATTTATTTGAGATGGAGTCTTGCTCTTCGCCCAGGCTGGCGTGAAATGGCACGATCTTGGCTCACTGCAAACTCTGACCCCAGGGTTCATGCAATTCTCCTGCCTCAGCTGCCCGAGTAGCTGGGACTACAGGTGCATGCCATCACACCCAGCTAATTTTTGTATTTTTAGTACAGACGGGGTTTCGCCATGTTGGCCAGGCTGGTCTTGAACTCCTGACCTCAAGTGATCCACCTGCCTTGGCCTCCCAAAGTGCTAGGATTACAGGCATGAGCCACTGAGCCTGGCTGCAACTTCTTTTTAAAAATAACATTTTTGTGTGTTGAATTGTGTCCTCCAAAACTTCATGTTGAAGTCCTTAACTGCAGTACCTCAGAATGCAACCTTATTTGGAGATAAGGTCTTTGCAGAGTTAATCAAGTTAACATGAGGTCACTAAGTTCAGTCCTAATCCAATATGATTTTTATCCTTATAAAAAGGGGAAACTTGGGCAGGCATAGTGACTCATGCCTATACTCCCAGCACTTTGGGAGGCTGAGGTGGGAGAGTCACTTAAGCCCAGGAGTTTGAGATGAGCCTGGGCAACAGGCAACACAGGGAGATCTTGTCTCTCCAAAAAAAAAAAAAAGGAAAAAAAAGAAAGAAATCGCCAGGTGTGGTGGCATGGGCATGCACCTATGTTCCCAGCTACTGGAAGGCTGAGGCAGGACAATCACTTGAGCCCAGGACATCGAGGCTGTGGTGAGCCATTATGGTGTCCCTGCACTCTAGCCTGGGCAATACAGCGAGACCGTGTCTCAAAAAGAGGTGGGGAGCAGAATTTGGAGACAGACATGCACACAGGGAGAATACCACATAGAGGTGAAGGCGGAGATCAGGGTGATGCTTCTGCAAGCCAAGGAACATCATTGATTGCCAGCAAATTACCAGAAGCCAGGAGAGAGGCACGGAACAGATTCTTCCTCACAGCTCTCAGAAGGAACCAACCCTGCCCACACCTTGATCTCAGACTTTCCACCTGCACAACTGTAAGACAATAAATTTCAGTTGTTTCAGCCACCCAGTTTGTGGTACTTTATTATGGTAGCCCCAGCAAACTAGTACAATACCCAACCATGTCATGCTCTGAATGTGTCGTGGCTCACTAAAGAGGATTTTCATATTTAGATGAAGAATTCGTGACAGTGTGGGCCACAAGCTTGAGAATTAAGCAACAATCAGACAGTGTTGGCAGTCTTTGTTTGATTCCCAGGTCTGTTTGATTCCTAGGATTTGCTTGGCGTCTGCTCCCTGTGTCTCTTGTTCATCCACATCTGGGACTCCTTTCTTTGACTTGCAGACCCAGCCCCAACCAGTGTTTGCAGGGTGAATCAGTGTTGACCCTATAATGATCTGCAAGGGCCTGGCTGTCAGGCGTGCTCCCGGGCTGCAAATCCTACTTATGCTCTTCAGGGCTTTCAGGATAGAGTGCACACTCCTTGGATTAGTTCTAAAGGTCTTTTATATTTGCACTATGCCTATCTCTCTGGCTTATTTTTTTTTTACTACTCTCCACCCTTGTTTGCTCTAACCATATTAAGCTATTTACAGTTCTTCAAAAGCATCAGGCTGTTTTATGACTCTGTGCTTTGAAAATACCTAGAATGTTACCCACTGAAAATTGCCCTCTTTATTAGCTAACTCCTGCTTATCCTTTACCATTCGACTCAAACATCACCTTCTTGGTAGTCCATTGATGTGCATTATTTATTGTTTTGTCTGCCAAGCTTGTTTCTCCTTCTTTGTAATGCCCCCAATTTCCCTTGAGGAACCATCATCTCCCACTGTCAGTGCACATGGATTAGTTGGAGACTCATCCCTGGTTTTGGTGTTAGGATCAGGTGACCCAGACCTGGAAAATTAGAGCACTGGATCCCCTGACCAAAAGATTAGTTCAGGGATGGGCATGTGACCCAGGTCAAGTATTGGGATTTGTGCATGAGCTTTTAGTGATGCCATAACAACAACTTCAACAAGTATTTATTGATCACTTATATACCAGCCACTGCCTTGCTGGGAATTCAACAGTAAACCAAATATCCAAAGTCTCTATCTATCCTTATGGATTTTTTATTCATAGACAGGAGATATTCTCTTGTTCTTCTGTCTTTTAAACATACATCTTGGAATGCAAAGGTCTAGATTCCAGAAACTATTTTGTCACCACAGGAAGCCTGAGCATTGAGCAAGCATGAAGGAGGATAGAAGGGAGAGATGGTGAGAGAACAGGATCTGATGGCATGATTTGAGCTCCTGGATCAAACTCTACCTGAAAATGAACTACCACTAAACTTTTCAGTTAATTTAATATTTTGTTGTCATTTAAGCCAGTTTGGGGTTTAAGTGACTTACAAATTAAGGAGTACCGTTTGGTACACCCTTCCACCATTTAGAGGCTACTTTTCTCTGTTGAACCTTATACTCCTCTATCATTTTGTTTATTCGATTAGTTATTCCTTTATTCCGGAAAAGATTTATGTCCACTTACTGTTATGTACCCATAACACATAGCAAGTTAGCATAACTTGAAAGTAGATATGAAAGATGAGAAAAATAAATGAGACAAGTTCATAAAATTCATCCCATAAAGAGTGAGACACGATTTAGTTTTCAGATTTCTAGCAGCCAATGTGACGATGGTTATATAATTCCTACACAATGGAAAAGGTATCTAAATTAAAACAATCCTGTTCTTAGGAGAAGTATGACTATTAGTAAATTGAAGAGCAGAAAGAATCACCCACACCCCAGGTCCACGTGAAGAAGGCTCTAGAGAAATGATGAATAACATCCTCACAGAGCACTCACAATGTGTTTCTTGGGGATGTTTCTCAGAGCACCCATGAATTCAATGAAATTTATTTTTTAGAAGAGCAATTTAATTACTTCATTTTGTCCGGTCATGGTGGCTCACGCCTGTGATTCCAGCACTTTGGGAGGCTGAGAAGGGTGGATCACCTGAGGTCAGGAGTTCGAGACCAGCCTGGCCAACATGGTGAAACCCCGCCTCTACTAAAAATACAAAAATTAGCCAGGCATGGTGGTGAGTGTCTGTAATCCCAGCTACTTGGGAGGCTGAGGAAAGAGAAATGCTTGAGCCTGTGATGTGGAGGTTGCAGTGAGCTGAGACTGCACCACTGCACTCCAGCCTGGGAGACAGAGAGAGATGCCATCTCAACAACAACAACAACAACAACAAAAATCACTTCATTTTGTAACAGGCACTTAACAGAATATATGACAATTACAATAAAGTGAGTAGTCCGAAGTATTCTGGTATTGCATAGTTGGAGGGAATGGAGGTAGAGTGAGGGAAGACTTCTTGGAAGAAGAGGCATCTAGAAGATGAACTAACTGAGGGTAAGATGTGTGCATGTAGGTGTGTGTGCTCACGTGTCTAAGCATTTTGGGCAGAGGGAACATCATGTGTAAAGGTGAGGAGGTAAATGCAAATAGGCTGAATCTAAGGACATGAAATATGTCCAGACTGGCTGCAGCATGGGGCACAAAAGGAGAGCAGTGAGGTGGAGGCTTGGAGGAACCTGCAGAGGAGGGCAGAGGCTGAGGCATGTAGGAGCTTAAAAGCAGGGACAAGTTTTGTGGGAGAAGATAAGGAGTTCTGTTTTGGATTATCAGAGAAAGTAATCTGCAAAACTGGCTAAAAGAAGAAGCCAGAGAGATAGGAAGGAGATAGTGAGAAAGTGTTGAATGAATACCAAAGACGAGGGCATTTCAGGAAGAGAGCAGTACCTACCCTCAGCTAAGTTTTAAGCTCCCCAGAGCAAACTGTGCTTCATGCAGCCCTAGAGTCCCACCACTAAGAGGTTTAAAGGAGGCCCTCGAAGGGTCTGATGGGTGGGCTTTGGGGATCCCAGGAGGATTCAGCAGTTTATAATAGTTCTGTAAAGCAGACCAAGCTGATCTGCACTTCCTTCAGGCAATCCTCCACAAATATGCTTTCACCAGGCTTTTGGGAGTATGGCCAGCAGCGATTTTGAGATTATAATCCTTGGGCAATACTCAACTATTCCGTGTTGTTCATTAAAAAATGAATTATATATTTTCACAGTCAACTGAGCTGAATTGATAATTTCATAAAAAGCTGAGTTTACTTAGTACATATGCAAGAATTGAAGGCCATTTCCCCTCTGCTCAAAGATGAGCGGAAGGAGGACATTGGGTCAGAGTTCATTCCTTTGTCACAGCAATCTTTATCATCTTTAATTTGCTGCCTTTTCCATTAGTTTGTTCCTTGAGGGCAGAATGCTGCCTAATTCAATGTTGCGACTCCAGTGCCTGGCACAGTAACTAGAACAGAGTAGGTGCTCAGTATCCACTGAAAGATAAATAGATACTGGGACCTTAATGGAGAGCTGGTGGGGAGAAGGGAGTGAGGTGGGGGCAGGTAGGGCTGGCCAGCCCATACCCTAAGGTGATCCAGCCAAGCCTAGTGTGGTTCACAGTGTGAAGGAGATCGGGGCCATATATTTGGGCAGTAGAGTCAGCACTAGGACGGGGAGGCGGTGAACTAGGTGAAGCAGCAATTAGGGGAGTCTAACCTCCCAGGAAGAGGAAATGTCAGGTTGTTATGGTTCAACCAATGGAGCTAAGGTTCAAGTGTGGACCACAGTGCCAGTGGCCAAATTAGGAAGCAATGTGGAATCCAATGGTGTTTACATGTGATGGAGGCACAGCTGTGGCTTGAAGGAGCTCCACAGCACATACCCAACTTCTGGAAACAAGATTAATTTCAGACCTCTACCAGAAAAATGGAAGGGCTGAGACTGGAAAATAGATTGGTGGTTGGTTTATTTTGGTTCTCTGACTCTGGCTTTCTTGTTTATACTTCAAACCCACAATATGAAATATGATTTCACATACCTGTGAGTTTGAGAAAGAGAGAGGAAAAGGAGAAATAAATGTCCTTTTTGCTCAAAGCTACTAATCTAATTTTATTTCAGATCTTCTTGGTGCAATGTAGAGACACTCAAGACTAATTTATTTACTTCAGGAGCTTACAAAAACAAGATTGAGTGACATGCTGGCTTCTAATGTTCTTTTGGGAAATATCTTGGGTTAAATGGTGCTTTCATTTTCTATTTTTTCATATAAAAAGAACTCTGGGACTTGTAGTTGAGTGACTGAAGGAGGACTAAAATCAATCCTCTACCTCTGAAAGTTGAGATCTTAGATTTTACTATATATTCTCTCATTCCTATAAAAAGTAGCAGCTCCTGCTGCAGAATGTTGCTTATTCTGCTACTTTTGACCCCAGGCCTGAAGAACTCCTATAGATAGCACGTGAAGTTCCATAAATATCTTCAAGTATGACCTACAATGACTACATTAGCTTTTCCTCTCACTAGTGCTGTTGCTGGGGCAGAAGTTCCCAGAGGTCTGAGTTTAAAGAATTCCACCCCTCCTAGGCACACTCGTACCACCAACCACAACTCCCAGCCCGAGCTCAGGATCTGTGGGGCATTAAAGTAAAACAAAACTCAAGAAAGCATAAGAAAAAACGTGACATGTTCAATAGTGGTTATGGGTTGTAAGTATCAAAAACTTTCAAATAGAGATGACTACATTTACACTCCATTTTCTTCTGGAAAAATTATTGGTTTTGCTCACCAACTCTGAAAATCCAGATATAGCAGTAGATGCTAGGAAGGAGTTAGGAGCAACTTGAAGCAGCTCTCATTTTTGAGCTCCTGGGAACTGGTTCCCAGGCCAGCACCTCCGCCACCAGGATGTGGCTTTCTGGTGAATGAGAGCCACCGATGGGCCTAGAAATTAGTCTTTTATGTTAGTGTGCTAACCATGTGACTAGAACACATTCTCCTCTACATTAGTGTCCTAAAGCATTAGCAAAATAATATGTCACTCATGATGCGACTGAGTGAAATGTATAAAGGAAATTGGTTTACTAAACCCATTAGGTTAAAAGGCAAATGGGAGACTAAAACAATAATCAAATGACAATATTTTAATTTTTAGGATTAGTTATCTGACAGGAAATTTCTCTTTTAATTTAATTTCTACATTTTAAAACAATGAAGTTTAAGGAGCCTTAGAGAGAAACACACAAATCAGCACACTTAGTCCTTTTTATAGAGTTTCAGGGTTCCAACCCACTCTTGCTAAAAAGTACTATTTCAGCCACCAAAACAGAATAATTCAATATGAGAAAAAAAAAAAAAAAAAAAAGCCCATGGAGATAAGGAGCTAAAATGAAGTCAAAGAATCGGGAATAAATTTTCCCCAAATGAATGACTCAAGATGTGAGATCCCAGCCTATACTTCTGCCTGGCACTTGAACTCCTACATTTGCAAGTTGTATGAAATCTCCTCTAATCTAGAATTGGAATTTGCCTGTAAGCAGCTATAGTTTTCTTATTCTTACTGTCTGGTTAAATAGGTTAAAGCAGGCAGGCAAGCCTGTCAGCAGGGCCTGAGAGAAACAAGAATGTAGTGGGAATCAGGAGAGATGTGTGAGTGACAGTGTTAGGGGGAAAAGGAAGAGAAAGGAGAGGTAACTCTCAAAACACAGCCAGAGGAAACGAAGCTCTTGTTACAATCATGGCAGAAAGGTCTTGATACTGTTTTTCCCCAGAACTGAGGTGGATGCTCTATGGAAGCACCCTCCATAGAGGCAAAGTTGTTGAAAACTGATCTAAGTCATATGATTTTACGTAGTGCAACTGCCCATCAATGGATTCAGGACTGGCACTTGGCAAGTTTTTTATTATTATTATGAATATTATTTTTATTAGAGTACTAAGGGTTAATAACAGAAGACTACATTTTCTTCTCACTTTTTAAATTAGAGGCTGACATTGATTTAAAATGTCTAACAGAAAGCCATGGCTTATTCCTCACTGATTTATGAGCATCAAAGGATGGGGAAGCTAGCCGCATTCTTGTCATTTCAGTGGTTCATTCTCTCCTTATTCTGAGTGAGGTCTTCTAGTATATTGGTTATGTGGCGTCTAAGTTTTGATCATCTCTACCGTTCACCTGGCACTTTGCACATCTGCTCACAATACTTGGCATGTTTTCAGTGTGTTTTAAAGCTCTGATTAGGTTGTTGGCCCATGGAGGGCAGGAGTCATTTCCTAGACTTTTTTTATATCCCTCACATACGCCTATGCACTTGGTACTCTGTCTGCACGTAAACTAAATGTAATGAATATTGGTTGATTACCGTTATATTTTTTCAGCATGTAATTCCATATCTTGATATGCTCTTACACAAAATCATAGTTTTTAGATCTAGAAGAGCTGTAGGGGATCATTAGTCCAAGCATGTCATTTTATAGAAGCAGAAACTGAGACTTCTCAAAGAGAGAAAATGCGCTCACAGTTACATGGCACAGTGGGGATTAGAACTTGGCCATCAGACTTCTGCTTTTTCCTTTTGTCCCTTCCCAGTTGGAGAAACTAGTGTTTAAGGAAAGTTCAAGAGACTAGGGAATGAGTGGTAAAATGGATTAGCAGCATACACCATGAGCTGGTAAGTCACCATTCTCAGTTTTGTGTATAATAAGGATTATGTAAGCATGGCCTAAGTCATTCTGTATGTCACTCAATACTAAAGGGTAATCAGGCAGGCTTCTCTGCCTTTGTGCAGGGCAAAGAGAATGTTCCACAGGCACGTGCCTAAATATGAAGAAGAGAATAAGGCAGCGAAGAGTGTGCCTACCTGCTTTCTTCCTCAAGGCCTGGGCTCCATGGTTTCTGTAAAGGCTCTTTTTAGGCAGTTATTTCTGGGCCACTAGGCAAGGTGAAAACATTCTTTTCCTTGACCACAATCCAAAAGGGAACATGCGAGAGATTTTATTCTGTTTGCATCTCAACTGAGGGTCTTCCTTTCTCCTCCTTGCTCTTCCTTCTGAGAACATTTATTGATCACCTACTGTATGCTGAGCACAATGCTAGGTAGACAATGGGGAGGCAATTGCAAGAAAGATGGCAGTGCTGTTCTTGAGCTTACAATTTTATTAGGGAGACAAATATTCCAGGAATGATGAATGGTGAGATACGTGCTAAAAGAGGTATCTCCAAAGTGTCAATGGGAGCACAAAGGAAGGGGGTAACTAATGACATCTGTGAGGCCAGGCAAGCCTTTTGGAGGAAGTGACATTGAGTCTTTATGAACGAATTATTGTGGGAGGGATCATTTTGATGGAAAAAGTGGTCCTGGTTGGAGGGGCAGCATGTGCACGCTCATGAAAACATGAGGTGAAATGGTGTGTTTAGGAACCCAGAAGTAGTTTGATGGGGTAGAGAGTAGGGGAAAGCACAAATCTAAAGAACGCTGGATGCTGTGCTAAGGAGTTTATATTTTAGCTTTCGGAGATGGGGAGGAAGGAGCCAACAGAGCAGAAAGTGACTATACTAATGTCCTTTTTTCAAAGTAACACGAGGTACTGAATATAAATAGCACGGCTAAAGAAAAAAATATATCTGAGCTCATTTCTTTTTCCTATAAAGATAAAAATTACTTCTTGGAGATCCTTTTGCAATTGTTAGGTTTTCCCAAGTGGTATGCAACGGTATTTTTAGAAATCAAATCATGTTTCTGATTGATTTGAAATGTATTTTTAATGTTAATGGAAAGGGTGATGGACTGGGAATTATGGAGACCTGGGTTCTAGGTCCTGGGCCACCATTAACAGGGCATAGTAACAGTAGCATATTCCTCATTCACCATGTGAGGGGATGGGAACAGGAACTTTCAGCACTAAAGTTTAGTGTGTGACCCTGTGTATGTGTATGGTGCGTGTTTGTGCGTGTGCATTTGTGTGTTTATATCTAGCCTAATTCAAAAACAAAATGAGGCAGTTTCTAATGAAAGGTACTGATAGAGGCCAGGTGTGGTGGCTCACGCCTGTAATCCCAGCAGTTTGGGAGGCCAAGGTGGGAGGATCACTTGAGGTCAGGAGTTTGAGACCGGCCTGGGCAACATAGCAATACTCTGACTATACTGCAGGCTGGATAACAGAGTGAGACCCTGTCTCTATGTTTTTTTAATAAAGGCATTCATACATTCAGAGTCAAAGCCTGAAACCTAGATTCAAAGACAAAAGTCAAGTAGTAAAGAGTGCAGAGGGATAACATAGGGTTGCTAACTTTTAATTTGGCCAAATAAGGATATAATAAAAGTAAACAAAGCAAAGCCTAGTCATTCTCAACAACAAATGGGAAGGAAATAATGGCAGAATAAAGAACAGTCTTCTAAGTTGCCATTATGCCATGAAATTCTTACTTAAATTTTATTAATTTTCTGAATAGATAATATATGCATAAGTTTCAAAATTCAAGAGGTAAAATGTGTATATGGTGAAAAGTCTCCCTCTCACCTTTTCTCCTAACTACCCAGTCTTTCTCCCCAGGCACTGTACTTTCTAGATGCCAAGATAAGGTAGGAAATATGACTAGTTGCAAAGCCCTCAAAGATCAAGGTTTATCACAAAAGAAAGGCTTTAAATTTCTTTTTTCAAAAAAATTCTTAAAAGGGAGAATTTAAGCTCTTAAGAAATTTGTCAAAAGGATGCCTATACAAAGGATCTGGAGTAAAATAACGAAGAATAAACTCAGGAGTTGCTACAGACAATGTGGGGGATTTTCTCATTTCTGAGCTCTTCATCTCTTAAAGAATTTAAATAAATACTTAATTGAATTCCCCAAATTCTACCCCATTAAGAAATGCAGAGGACAGACTTTGACCTGGAGTATTTTGAGGAAAGAGATTACCCAAATTCCTATTTACTTCTTCTCTAGAGAAGTCTTAATTTAACTCCTGAATCATGTTTGATTTTGAATACACAAAAGTCACAGCCTGACTTTTGTTCCAGGATAATTCAGCTCAGAAATGAAGTCCTATATATCTGAGTGGGGGAAATCTTTTAAATAAAATCGTTTAGTGTTATCCATTTATATGTGACAGTGTATCTGACAAAGGAGTTGCGTTTGACATAATTACTATTTAGCTGTCCTTCTAGGCTATAATTGGTCAACGGGTTCAACTGCTTTTAGAGGCCACTCCTGAAATGTGAAAGTGGTGTCGTATAATCAGTATGTAGAAAGGATCCTGATCCTCTGTTGGCCAAAGTAGGCACCTTGGATTTGGAGCTGGTACCAAACAGTTCAGGTACCAGTTAATACCGGGGGGAGGGGGCGGTTATGGTCAACTCCCTTACGTGGCACTACCAATGATGTTACTGTTGGTCAGAAAGCGAATCCTGTGCTGGCTCTGATTCTCAGACTAGTAGGAAAATAAATGTTGTGAAGGAGCATTAAAAGCCTTGGATCAATGCACATCGCATGATGTAGCCATAAATCATGACCTGTAGAATAAAGAACTGACATCAGATCAATAATTGCCAGAAAAATTAAATTTTTCATTACTTGAAACAGAAAAGTAATGGTTGAGTGGTTAAACCTAAAACCTTCCTTCACTTCAGGTGACTGGGAGACCCAGCTCTGTAATTTGTTGAAGAGAAAGCAGCTGGCATAGAATTTTGAGGGAATGAGATAAGTTAAACTGGGTAGATCTTATTTCTATTTTTAGTAGTCTTTGAGTCCATCAGTTAATGGAGATACAGATTTCTTCAGGGCCTGTCAATTACAGTAGAGGTTAGAGAGCCCCAGTGACAATTCTTCCTTGGGGGTCCTCCTCTGCTTAAGACATCTCTTAGGGAGAATTTTGGAGTCTGCAAAACAAGAGGTCCTGTCCCAAAGCTGCCACAGCAGAGACAAACATTGACAGGGATCTGTGATTCACGGTTCCTCCCACTGCAGTCCTGCTGGGAGCAACAAAGCCCCAGCCACCATGTACAGCCTAAGGGACAGGTGTCCCACTGAGGCCAGGAGTACCCTCCTCCCCGCTCCCTCCACCCTCTATGCATGCACACATTGTAGTTTTTTCAGAAGTTCCCCCAAATTACTTTCTTGCTAATCTGCCTGTCTTTTCTTGTCTCCCTAGCAGTTCCTTCCCAGACATAGGACAGAAAAGAAGGGTGGGATTCCCCACTGGAAAGCTGTTTCCACATTTAATTGATCTGTAATTCATAGTGGCCCCAGCTCTGAAGCCCACTCTGGCCTTAACCCATCGTTCAGCCAGATACTTAATGACCTGTAAACAACACAACAGCTGTTCACAGGGGTCCATATAGTCAAAAGACCCCGAGGTGAATCTTTTGTAAGGCAAAGCATCTTTTTGTGTGTGATGCAGAATCCCTTCCTCTAATTTATCTGCTTTATAGGTTAGTGCACTCCAGGGCTCTCCAACCATAAACGTAACATTTGTAGTTAGAGTCATAGAAGAATGCTGATGAGATTTCCAGTTAAATTCAGACAAAATGGGGTCCGATTTTCTCATGGTGGCAGAGTGGCTGTTAACATCCCATCCTTCACCTCTGTTTCACGTTAAAGATCAGTGCTTTAATTGTTCTAGCTAGCAAGGAACCAGATGCCCCTCCTCTTTAACAGAGAAACACACATTTCATTTGCCCAATTTTTCTTTGACCCCAAGAGAAGGGTAAGACCCTTTGTAGGGAAAGCACTAAATTCGGAGTGAGAGGCTTGGGGAGAAGGTGCCCTATAGCAGCCAAACAGAGGGAGAGCGCAAATGCCAGGTAGAGGCTACGATTGTCCAACTCGTTCATTAAACTTCTGAGAAGGCAATGTATGGTAGGAATGCTTTATCTCCATTAATGGAAGTATTATGCCACAAGGAGAAAAACATTGTATGAATAAACAAAGACAAATAGGCTGTTGTAAAAGGAGTAGTGTTTTGATAACTTCCATTTCTATTGTTTCTCTTGTACTGAAAAGACATATGTTCATCATAAAAATTTTGAAAAGTATAGAAAAATACAAAAAAAAAAATCCAAAAATACAAAGCCCCAGCCACCCTGTACAGCCTAAGGGACAAGCATCCCGCTGAGGCCAGAAATGCCCTCCTCCCTGCTCTCTCTACCCGCTATGCATGTCTTTTTTTCTGGGCATATATGCACTATAACAATTGATCACATTGGACAGGTGAAACTTGCTTTTCACTTAACATATAGTGAATATTTCCCATGCCATTTAATATTATTTTATAACCACAACTTTATGGCTATATGATACATTTTTAGGATATTAAAACAACTTTTAAAAATAAACATGCTGGGCTTCATACCTAGGTGATGAGTTGATAGGTACAATACACCACCATGACACACATTTACCTATGTAACAAACCTGTACATACTGTGCATGTACCCCAGAACTTAAAAAATAATCAATCAATCAATCAATAAACATTCTTTAGTAGTGATGAGCATACTTTAACTCTGTGCTCATCCATTATTTTCTTAGGATAAACTTGTAAAAAAATTTCTGTTTTCTAAAGCTGTATTTGTCTCAAGTGAAGGGGAAAAAGACTCACTAAGCCCTGTTTGCTAGTTATTAATACCAGGGGGCAGCATAGAATAGTATTTTAAAAGCCTGGGTCTGTAGTCAAACCATCCCCATTTAAACCCCACTTCTACCCTCTGGATGCTTGGTTTCCTCATCTGTATAATGAGGATAATAATGGTGCCTGTGCTCTAGGGTTGCTGGGTGATATAAATGAATTCATATAGAAACACACATCTGGGCCGGGCATGGTGGCTCACGCTTGTAATCCCAGCACTTTGGGAGGCCGAGGTGGGCGGATCACGAGGTCAGGAGATCGAGACCATCCCGGCTAACAAGGTGAAACCCCATCTCTACTAAAAATACAAAAAAATTAGCCAGGCGTGGTGGCAGGCGCCTGTAGTCTCAGCTACTCGGGAGGCTGAGGCAGGAGAATGGCGTGAACCCGGGAGGCGGAGCTTGCAGTGAGCCGAGATAGTGCCACTGCACTCCAGCCTGTGCGACACAGTGACTCCGTCTCAAAAAAAAAAAAAAAAGAAAAGAAAAGAAACACACACATCTGACTCATTATGATACTGCCTCCTTTTAATTCCACCAATGGCTCAGTTAGGTGGGCACTATTATGGCTATATCTGGAAGCACATGTGCAGAAATGAGAAGTAAATTACCCAGGGTGGCCAAACTCAGATGCCATGTGTCAGCTGCAAAATTCATTCTTTCCCCCATTATACTATAATTATTAATTTTATCTATGTGGAAACCCAATTTAGATACTGAGCTCTGGAAGTAAAGGTTTTCAACCTCACTTCAAATCTCTGCCTAAGTATAGCTGCCTCAAAAAGAAGTGACTGTCTGGCATACCACTGTAAGCCTCCTGGCTCTTGTCACAAACTTATCTTTTGAACTTACATTTTTATTGTCTGTCTTCCCCACTAGAATGTATGCTCTCTGAGAGGGAGTTGTGTTGTTTAAATGATTTAGCACCAAATCTGGCACCTGGAAAACTTGTGTCAAATAAATATATCTTATCATTCAATTATGTATATAGCCTAAAATGCCAGATCATTGTCAAATTATCTCTTTTTGTTTAAGCTATTAAGATTATCTACATGTATCAGATCACCTGGATAACTGACAACTTTTCCTTTCACTTTTTACTAAAAGCACCTTTGATTTTTTCATAAAGAGCATCAAATTATAAGTACATTGATAAATATATTGATAAAATCATAAGCTACAATAGGTATACAAAACACATGATTGTCAGTGGTGAATGTAGTGTTTTTCTCTTCTATCCAATTCTTTTCAGCAATCTTCTCCCGAAAGGAAAAGGACTCAAATATAAATACTTTCCTAGAAACCCTCTCATTTCCTGAAGCCCAGAGTTATACTTGCCCAGTACAGACTGTGTATACAGGGCAGGTTGGCTGACTGATCCATCTCACAACTGGATCATTCCATAGGCAATAGCAAGTACAATCAGACTTCAAACCCTTTGCTTTGCCTAATTTTCTTCATTGCTTTTTCTTCCTCTATCTCTTTCAGAATTCCCACTTATTCTTCAAGTGTTATGTGAATATCTATTCTCTGTAAAGCCTGCTCTTACTTCCCTTCTACCCTGGGAGAGAATTTGGCTCTGTTCATTGTACTTCTTTGGCACAATGTACGTAATGTGACTATGGCTCTGAGGACATTATATTGCATTTTAAAAAATTTGTGTTCTCATGTAGACTGAGATTCTTGAGGACAGGGATCATTGCTTACAATGTTGCATAGCATATTAGAGGTTCTGCTGAATGAATGAACTATATGTGTGAGTATGTGTACTTAGAGTTTGTTAAGTGAGTAACAGGAAGCTAGGGGAGATTTTAAGTAAGGGAGATTTTAAGTAAGTAACCAATGTATGGCTTAGGAGTACATGTTTGACTGTCCGTTACTCTACCCAAATCCTGGCATTCTGGCTTGTAGGCATGTGCTTAATTGCTAAAACTTACTCTTTCAATCTTAGACATTTCATTTGAAAAAATTTTGTTTCCTTGTTTGGTGCTTCTGTAGCCTGGCTCTTCTCTCCAAAGATTGTAATTTATTTACTTTTTTCCCTCAAATTTCCTTATACATTGGGTGATATTTTACCTTCTTATTGGTACTTCCACTGTCAGAAAACACTCATCTTTTTCAACACTGAAACCAGTTGACTATAGGAAGTGGGTGGAGAATGTCGTGCCACACACTGCTCAGTAGGGTTAGGAGCTACCATGCATGATTTCAAGTTTCAAGGGGATTCCAAGCAGCCAATGCATACTGTTTCTATCATTGTTTTTCCTTCATCCACTGAAAGCCTTAAGAGTAAGGTCTATGTCTTATTCATTGCCGTGTCCCCAGCGTCCATTAAAGTGTCTGGGATCTAGTAGATACTAGGAAAAAAAAGTATTTAATAACGAATGACTAACTGATCAAAGGAAGGAATGAGGCTTCTGAGCTGGAGAACATATTTGATTTTGAGTAACTCTGATACTCCCCAAAAGGGTGAAGGTGGCAGGAGCTGAAATCTTGTCAGTATTTAATAAGGCTCTGAGGCTCATATTACTGTCAGAGGCATTCGAACCAGAGCAACTCCATCTTGAATAGTGGCTGGGTAAAATGAGGCTGAGACCCACTGGGCTGCATTTCCCTGAGACAGGCATTCTTAGTCACAGGATGAGATAGGAGGTCGGCAGGAGATAAAGGTCACAAAGGCCTTGCTGATAAAACAGGTTGCATTAAAGAAGCCAGCCAAAACCCACCAAAACCAAGATGGAGATGACAGTGACCTCTAGTCGCCCTCACTGCTCATTACATGCTAATTATAATGCACTAGCATGTTAACGGACACTCCCACCAGCGCCATGGCAGTTTACAGATGCCATGGCAACATCTGGAAGTTACCTTGTAGAGTCTAAAAAGGGGAGGAACCCTCCATTCTGGGAATTTCCCTTTCCCAGAAAACTCATGAATAATCCACCCCTTGTTTAGCATGTAATCAAGAAATAGCTATAAGTGTCCTTAGTCCAGCAGCCCAAGCTCTGCTCTGCCTATGGAATAGCCATTCTTTTATTCCTTTACTTTCTTAATAAACTTTTTTTCACTTTATTCTGTGGATTCGCCTTGAATTCTTTCTTGCGTGAGATCAAGAATCCTCTCTTGGGGTGGTCTGGATCGGGACCCCTTTCTGGTAACACTACCATTAAAGAAAATGGTTCTGGAGCCTTTGGAGAACTCTTTGGCAAGAAGTCCGGTAAGTCCGTGAAGTTCATCTTTCCTCACAGGGAGTTTACCAACTTGAATGCATGTTTTGCATTACTGAGTTGACTGGAGATGTCATTTGCAGACTTTCGCTTTGGAGTTAAAGTCAACAACATCATTCTTGCATTTTAAATGAGCTCATGTTTGCCCTGTTCCCATCAATTCCTCTTTCTTCCTCTGCTGTTTTCCCGTTTAAGTTAAGGTTCTTTGCAGAGAAGAGGAGAGGCAGAGAGGGAGTTCTGCGGCTACTGCCACGTTTTCATGGAGGATGAGTGTTCCCTGGGACAGATGGGAAGGAAGGTGACACATCAGCGTTCCTGAGTCCTGGGAGTGGGCTGCAGTTATGTGGGAGATCTGGCAAACTTGCCCGAAGCTAAGCTCTTAACGCTGTTTGCTAGTTGCTGACTTCTTGTTAAATAGCTCTAATTGTAGACACTATTCCAAGATGAACTATGTTTTATATATATTAAATTGTACACTATTAGATTTCATGTTGGTCCCCAGAGATAGTTTTAGGCCGATCATGCCTTTAAACAAACAAACAAACAAACAAACAAACAACAACAACAACAACATACCCGGGAGGCTCTGCCTGGTTTCACAGCTGGGCCCTGGCCTGTGGGTTTCAGCCTGTGATGGACTCTTAGGTAAAATCGACCTGAGCTTCCAGCCTTGTGTTGCATGTTGTGCATCCTTCACTTTCGCAGACACTTTATTTTCTCAACATCCTATTGATATTTAGGAGACAGAGTAGCTGCAGTGATGTGTCACAGACACTCAGGAACTTTACAACACCCAGGACGCTGGATTTCTGGTCTGGAAGATGGTGAGTAGTAGGAGCTGCCTTTACTGAGAGCCTGGCTTTAAATTGTTCTTTAGGCTAAAGGAACCACAGCCAAAAAAACAGATTGAGGTGGTGCTGCTTCTGCTGATGACACAGGCTTTCTGATGGCCCGAAGGAGCAGTTCTCTCTCCTGGGTCTGTGGGGCACAACTGAAGGAAATCACTCGCTACATCTCAATCAGACCTTTTCTTCTCACTCCTCTTCACTGACACAAATTCTCACAGAAAGTTTACAAAAAAAAAAAATTATCAGAGCGTTTAAGAAGCCTTACTCCATGTGAATTATAATTTAGTGGGATCATTTTCCAGCGGATTTCTGAGGAGAGAAAAAGGGTGCTTCTTTATAGGTCCCCAAGTTACACATTTAATCTTTCTATTATGTTGGGATTCTAGATGGTTTACACTTATTTAAGCTTCGTTGGTCACAATTTTTTTTTCTAATGGCTAAAATAATGCTGGTTTTTCACGTCCTGTCATCCCACCCCATTTCCTAGTTTAGTGTTCCCTGTTCAGTCACTCGGTGGTCACTATTATCCTGTATCTTCCCAGTATGTGACTACTCTCTCACCCTTTATTTTCAAAAACAAATTTTTATTTTTATTTTAGTAACAGGGTCTCGCTGTATCACCAGGCTGGAATGCAGTGGCGCAATCACGACTCACCGTAGCCTCGACCTCCTGGGCTCAAGGGATTCTCCTGCCTTGGCCTCCTGAGTAGCTGAGACTACAGGTGTACATTATGTTGCCCAGCTAATTCTGAATTTTTTTTGTAGAGACAAGGCTTTGCTATGTTGTCCAGGCTGGTCTTGAACTCCTCGCCTTAAGTGATTCTTTCTCCTTGGCCTCCCAAAGTGCTGGGATTACAGGTGTGAGCCACTGCACCCGGCATCACCCTTTCTTAATGGTGGGCTTCCAGCAGTGATATTGTGTCCGGAATTGGTGGGTCCTTGGTCTCACTGACTTCAAGAATGAAGCCGTAGACCCTCGCGGTGAGTGTTACAGTTCTTAAAGGCTGCATGTCCGGAGTTTTTTCCTTCTGATGTTCGAATGTGCTTGGAGTTTCTTCCCTCTGGTGGGTTCGTGGTCTCGCTGGCTCAGGAGTGAAGCTGCAGACCTTTGCGGTGAGTGTTACAGCTCTTAAGGCGGCACGTCTGGAGTTGTTCGTTCCTCCCTGTGGTTCGTGGTCGCACTGGCTTCAGGAGAGAAGCTGCAGACCTTCACAGTGAGTGTTACAGCTCATAAAGGCAGTGTGGACCCAAAGAGTGAGCAGCAGCAAGATTTACTGCAAATAGCTAAAGAACAAAGCTTCCACAGTGGGGAAGGCCACTGGCGGGGGTTGCCACTGCTGGCTCTGGCAGCCTGCTTTTATTCTCTTATCTGGCCCCACCCACATCCTGCTGATTGGTCCATTTTACAGAGAGCCCAGTGGTCTGTTTTGAGAGGGCACTGACTGGTGCGTTTACAATCCCTGAGCTAGACACAAAGGTTCTCCACGTCCCCACTAGATTAGCTAGATACAGAGTGTGGACACAAAGGTTCTCCAAGTCCTCACCAGAGTAGCTAGACACAGAGTGTCGATTGGTGCATTCACAAACCCTGAGCTAGACACAGGGTGCTGATTGGTGTGTTTACAAACCTTGAGCTAGATACAGAGTGCCGATTGGTGTATTTACAATCCCCTAGCTAGACATATAGGTTCTCCAAGTCCCCACCAGACTCAGGAGCCCAGCTGGCTTCACCCAGTGGATCCTGCACCAGGGCCGCAGGTGGAGCTGCCTGCCAGTCCTGCCCCGTGTGCTCGCACTCCTCAGCCCTTGGGTGGTCGATGGGACTGGGCACCGTGGAGCAGGGGCAGCACTCGTCAGGGAGGCTCTGGCCGCACGGTAGGGGCGGGGGGTGGGTTGGGGGGAAGGCTCAGGCATGGCGGGCTGCAGGTCCTGAGCCCACACCCACCCAGAACTCATGCTGGCCCACCAGCACCGCGCGCAGCCCCCGTTCTAGCCCGCGCCTCTCCCTCCACACCTCCCTGCAAGCTGAGGGAGCTGGCTCCTGCCCTTGCCAGCCCAGAAAGGGGCTCCCACAGTGCAGCAGCAGGCTGAAGGGCTCCTCAAGCGTGGCCAGAGTGGGAGCCCAGGCCGAGGAGGCCCCGAGAGTGAGCAAGGGCTGTGAGGGATGCCAGCACGCTGTCACCTCTCAGTATGGGAATCTGATCCTTCCCTCCCTGGCCACGGCTGATTAGGTCAACGGTGTGCACCTGGGCCAATTAGAACTTTTTTTTTTTCCCCTGGGTTTCTAAGGAAGCTCTGTCTCTCTGTGAGACTGAAACTTTGGAATTATGGGCAGCCATTTCATATTCACTGGGTGGACAAGTATCATCACATTAAGAAGGATGAAGTGAAGGGTTGTGAGGAGACATGGAGAAAGCTTTCACCCCTCTTCCCTCCCTGTTCTAGTCTTCCTGAGGCCTCGCTGTCTTCCTGTTCTTGGGTTATATGAA